>NC_000006.12:7635757-7787272 GCF_000001405.40 Homo sapiens
CAGTACATTGGGAGGCTGAGGTGGGTGAATCACTTGAGGTCAGGGGTTTGAGACTGGTCTGGCCAACATGGTGAAACCCCGTCTCTACTAAAAATACAAAAATTAGCCGGGCGTGGTGGCAGGCACCTGTAATCATCAAGTCCATTCAATACTCAATTTTAAGAAAGACTATGGGAGAGAATATTTTATAAGAAGAAAGAGAAAAGATTAATAATCCTGTATCAGTTATCTATTATAATGAACAAATCATCCCCAAACTTAGTGGCTTATCTTTTATGGTTTCTGTGGGTCGGGAATTCAGGAAGGGCTTTGCCGGGTGTTTCAGGCTTCCATCTCCAGTGTGGTTGTGATCAGACAGTGGCTGGAGCTGGAACAGCTGGGGCTGGTCAGACATCTCTCTTTTATCACATCTTTCTTTTTTCACCAGGGACTCTGCATGTGGTTTCCCTGGAGGGGAGAGTTTGTGCTTCCTCCTAGCATGGAGGCCTTAGAGCAGGTAGATGGTTGACATTGTGACTCAGACCTCCAAAGGCAGGAAGTCCAAGAAAACCAGGGAAAGCCGTAACATTTTTTGCAAACCAGTCTCAAAAGTCATACAACATCCCTTTCATCACTTACAAGCCTACCCAGACTCAAGAGATTTCACCTCTCTGTGGGAGGGCTGTCAAAGTCACATTGCAAGAAGAACATGTGGGATGTGAGATAATTGTGGCCATATTTGGAAAATACAATCTGCCACAATTTCTGTACTTCTGTTATTGATGGGTTCTCATGATCTTTAAAACAGAATTAACACCTAATGAGTAGCCTAGACAGTTGCTTACGGACACCCTATTGCTTGCTTTCAAATTTCAAGTGAAATCTTTAAAACATGGTTTCAAAGGATTGTAGTAATTTCTTCCCCACCACAGTCATGTCCCGCCAAAATGTACTTCTGTGTACCATTTTCAACTGCGAAACTTTGTTTCTTATGTTTGCAATTTAGAAAAGAATAACATTGGGAGGTTGGTGTCTTAGCTCATTTTTTGTTTCTTCTAACAGCATACCTAAAACTGGGTAATTTATAAAGAAAAGGAATTTATTCTTCACAGTTCTGGAGGCTGAGGAGTCTAAGGTTGAGGGTTTGCGTCTGGTGAGGGCCTTCTTGCTGGAGGGGACTCTGCAGAGTCCTGAGGTGGTGCAGGGCATCACATAGTGAAGGGCTGAGCATGGTGGCTCAGGTCTCTCTTCCCCTTCTCTTAAAACCACCAGTCCTGGCCGGGCGCAGTGGCTCACACCTGTAATCCCAGCCCTTTTAGGAGGCCAAGGCAGGCGGATCACGAGGTCAGGAGATTGAGATCATCTTGGCTCACATGGTGAAACCCTGTCTCTATTAAAAATACAAAAAATTAGCCGGGTGAGGTGGCACGTGCCTGCAGTCCCAGCTACCCAGGAGGCCGAGGCAGGAGAATCCCTTGAACCCAGGAGGCAGAGGTTGCAGTGAGTCGGGATCGTGCCATTGCACTCCAGCCTGGGCGATAGAGTGAGACTCCATCTCAAAAATAAATAAATAAAATAAAACCACCGGTCCCCATACCATGATAACATATTAATCTACTAGCCCATTAATCTATTAACACATTAATCCATTTACCCATCAATCCATTAATGTATTAATTCATGCATGAGGTCAGGGCACCCATGATCCAATTACCTCTTAAAGGCCCCACCTTTCAAAACTGGCATATTAGGGTGACTCAACATGAGTTTTGGAGGGGACAAATTCAAACCATAGCAGTTGGAAATAGAAATAGAAGATAAAGTGAATGGCAGACCAGGAAGAGAGGTTTTTTTCACTAAAACTTGGGAGAAAAAAAAGGAAGGGAAAGAAAGTTTAATCTGGGATTTAAAATCTGTCCATGGGATGGAGGGAGTTGAGACATTAATCAGAGGAGCTGACAGCTCCAAATTAGTCTTGAAGTGATGCTGGGCAAGTCAAGGCTGCATAACTCTGAGTATTGGGAAAGGATGTTAAGAACGTGTACTCACCCATGCTGCGGGAGAATAAGAAATACCTACTCAACCATGCTGCTGTTGTGCTCTGGGGCCAGTATGAAGTACAAGTATGACTTACACACAAGCACTGCAATGTTACCACTGTCTATCTGAGAACCTGGGAGGCTGGTAAGCGATTAATAGGTGGGTACTGAGGACTGCATGGATCTGCTTAACAAAGGATGACTCCTGGCCCAGGCAGGATGGCTCGAAATTTCATCATGCTGCTTAGAACGGTGTGCAATTTAAAACTTAGAAACTGTTTATTTCTGGAATTTTCCATTTAATATTTAAAAACTGCGGTTGACTCTGGGTAAATGAAACCACAGAAAGCAAAACTGCAGATAAGGGAGGACTACTGTATTTGCATACAATGGAATATTATTCAGCTATAAAAATAGAAGGGAATCCTGTCCTAATCTACAGCATGGATGAACCTGGAGAACATTATGCAAAGTGTAACGAACCACTCACAGAAGAACAACTACTGCATGATTCCACATATATAGGGTGTCTAAAGTAGTCAGCCTCATGGAAACAAGAAGAATGGTGGTTACCAGAGGCTGGGGAGAGGGGGAAATGGAAGCTGTTATTCAGTGAGTATAGCGTTTCAGTCATCCACGATGAAAACACTCTAGAGATCTGCTGGACAATATTGTGTCTACAGTTACCAATACTTAGAAATGTATCAAGACGGTGGATTTTATGATATGTGTGTTTCACCACAATAAAAACATCATTGGTCATTTATTTACCCCATATGTTGCCTTTCTGCTTATTTTTTGTGAATATAAAATATTATAATGATATTCATATGTTTCCTTGTAATTTCTCCCTTCCCACCTTATTTTTGCCTTAGCATTTCTCAAAATTAAGCCATACCCTGAGGCTCTTAGAAAACTAGCTCTCTGTGTCAACTAAACACAAAAGGAAAAAAGATAAAGAAAAGTAGCTCTTACCCCATCTCACAGGGATGAGGTGCTGCACTAATGCCAGCTTCTTGTGGGTAACTATATGTGGCTGTAATTTTTTTAAATTTAATGAATAGTGCATCTGAGTCTATAATGTGACCAATTTTCTAAAAGAGTTGGTTGTAGAAAACATGGAATTAAGTGGGAGCTCTTTTAATTAATTGCTTTCATGGTTGGTTACTCCTTCATTGCTTGTGTTTACAACCAATTTCCAGAAATAATTTTTGCACTTCAACGTGAGCACACAAGGTCAGGAGAGTGACTCAAAAATATAAGCCTGCAAAGGCAGAATATCAATACCATTAAAGAGATTTCATGTCTTAGAAAAAGGCTTCTGATTAAAGTGATTTATTCTTTTTTTAGTACCTAATGCTTTAAAAAAATCTACCGTTCACTTCTCCACAATAGAATAAAAAACATAATTTTAGAACATGAGAAACTTTTTGACATTTTCAGAATAGACCAGTGACCAAGAACTTTCTGAACCGGAAAGTTTGTCTCCAATTTTATAGATTTTCCCTTCCTTTGAAAATGGATCTTATCATCTATAGCAGGGCTTTGTAGTTTTGAAAAAATATAATTATCCAAACTATTTTCTAGGTCAAGAATTATTAACAAGGAACCACTGAGGATGGCTAGAATGCATTTCAGGTTTTTAGGCCCACAAAGGATAATCTAGACCCACAAGGATAATCCATTCCTATCTCTTTTCTTTTTCAAACAAAGAAAAGTGGACACTTAGTCTGGGGCCTTATCTGACAATGCAATAGAATACTGGAAATTCAGATTAGAAACCAGGGAACCTGGCACACTTGGTTGCAGTAATTGTGATCTTGGCTTCTGTATTAGTCAGCTTGTGCTGCTATAACAAAGTGCCACAGACTGGGTGGTGGCTGAAACAACAGAAGTTTGTTTCTCACAGTTCTGGAGGCTAGAAGGCTGATCTCAAAAACTACTGTCTGATCTGGTTGCTGTGAGAGCTCTCTCCCTGGCCTGCGGACAGCTGTCTTCTCACTCTGTCCTCACAGGGGCTTTCCTCCGGGCATGCACGAGGAGAGAGGGCTCTCGGGCTTTTTCCTCTTCTTATAAGGGAACTAATCCAATCTTTAGGGTCCCACTCTCATGGCCTCATCTAACCCTAATCCCTGTCTGAAGTCCCTGTCTCCAGATTCCATCACGCTGGGGGCCAGGGCTTCAATATATGAATTTTGGGAGACACCATTCAATTCATAGCAGCCTCCTTTATTACCTTTTTTTCTGGAATATATTCTAAGCTCTGAGAGTATCTTCTCAGCATCTTGGTTTTAATATCTGAAAAAATGAATCTTACTAGCAACTTCTCAGGAATGTCAAAGTTTATTTAGAAAATAATTGCATGTTATAAAAGACCAAATCTATTCTGATGCCTTAGATGTAAAAGTAAACCTGAGGAATATTTTCATGATTGTTATCAGTTTGATTGGGAAATTGTTGCTACAAACACTCATTCTTGTTATCATTCCCTTTAACTCATGGGGTCCCCTTGGTGTAGTAGATAGAATGAACTGTAGTCTATGTCTCAAAGCTCAGGTTCTAGCTCTGCTCTGGAACTTGCAAATCTAAACTGTCAGTCTTTCCACCTTTTTTTTTTTTTTTAAGATGGAGTCTCGCTCTGTCACCCAGGCTGGAGTGCAGTGGCACTATCTTGGCTCACTGCAAGCTCCGCCTCCCGGGTTCACGCCATTCTCCTGCCTCAGCCTCCTGAGTAGCTGGGAATACAGGCGTACACCACCATGCCCGGCTAATTTTTTGTATTTTTAGTAGAGATGGGGTTTCACCATGTTAGCCAGGATGGTCTCGATCTCCTGACTTCGTGATCTGCCCACCTCGGCCTCCCGAAGTGCTAGGATTACAGGTCTTTCCACCTTTAAGAAGTCCCTTCCCTCTATAATATTGGGGAAAGAGGGGTGGATGTCTCCCATCTGCTCTCATTTGACCTCTCAGAGTTATATTCTCACCTTTTCAACTTTACGCTTCACTTCCTTCACTGCTGGTCTCAGTCTGGAACCCACTGACTACAGTGCCCTTGCTCTTTGCATATGCACGTGTGTGTGTATGTGTGCCTATGGGTGTACATGTGCATGTGTGTGCACAAGTATGTATGTGAAACGATGCTGATTAAACAGGATGATTATCCAATACCAATCAACTTGGATAATCTGATTATCCAAGGAAGCTCAGAGGAATGTATTGACTCACATGAAAAGTAGTACAAAGGTTCTTTATCACTGGAGTCTAGTGAGAAAGAACAGTCGCATGAGTCAGGCAAAGCAACTTTATTACTCACAGATAGGTGGTGAGGATAAACAGAAGCCTAGGATCCACGGCAAGCCAGTTCCCCCAGGCTCAGGGGGGCTGCCCTGGGTGGCTGGAGTCTTGTCTGCACATGACCCATGTTGCATTGCAGCTAAGGGACCGCAAAAGCACTCCACTCTGAGTTTTATGCCCTTGGTGGAACTTGGATCACTGAGTTCAAGTACTGCAGGCCATCCTGTTCTAGGAGGGATGAGGACATAGCCCAGGCAGTTCTGGACAGTTGCCCCTTACCTTAGGATGTTGCGGTCTCTGTATATTCTACAGTTATTCCAAGAACTACCAGCAGGAGTAGGGAGAGCCGGGTAGTACAAAGCCATCTGGGCACCTGTCCTCCTGTAGATAGAAAACACAGGGTTACCCAAAACTCAGGCTCTGTCTTTTACCTCTTTCTTTCTACATGCCATCGTTCTCCTAAACTGTTTCACTCCATAGGATTAAAATTACAGCTGCTGGCAGCATTGGGCACAATCTTCCCAGCTTTCCCAACTGATAGGAAAGAGCTTCTTCCAGCTTTAGCTGAAAAAACCTGGGCAAGGGTTCTCATTGGCCTGGCTTGCCTCCTGGGTCAGCTTGACGAGCCTAGCTAGGGCCAAAAGCCTCCTCTGGACGCATGTGGTCATGGGAGTGGTCCCCTGCAGCTGGCACATGGATCACCTGCTACAGTGAGGCCATTTCACCAAAGAAAGGAAGGTAAAGATACAACCACCATGTGGATGTGAGCTGGGCAGTCACCCTCACTTCTCAGTTTCTGCTCTAGTGGGACAGGTTTTGCAGCCCTCTTTTGGCTCTGCAGAGGTCCTCTTTACAGCCCACCACACATAGCTACATGGGTAGATAGGATTTACTGAAGGACTGGGGAAAACTAAAGGGAATGACAACACATAGTGGGAAGAACTGCAAACCATAAGCTGGCAGTGCCCATAGTCTAAGGGCAAGCATGCAAGGCAGTCCACCTCCCACAGGGACCCTGTTCTGATGTACTGGTTTCTTTTCTTTTTTGTTTTTGTTTTTTTGTTTTTGAGACGGAGTTTCGCTCTTGTCGCCCCGGCTGGAGTGCAGCTCACTGCAACCTCCGCCTCCCTGGTTCAAGTGATTCTCCTGTCTCAGCCTCCCGAGTAGCTGGGATTACAGGCATGGGCCACCATGTCAGGCAAATTTTTGTACTTTTAGTAGAGATGGGGTTTCGCCACGTTGGCCAGTCTGGTCTCGAACTCCTGACCTCAGATGAGCCACCTTCCTTGGCCTCCTAAAGTGCTGGGATTGCAGGTGTGAACCACTGTTCCCGGCCTGTTGTTGTTGTTGTTGTTGTTGTTGAGACAGAGTTTTGCTCTTGTTGCCCAAGCTGGAGCACAGTGGCACAATCTTGGCTCACTGCAACCTCTGCCTCCCGGGTTCACTGATTCTCCTGCCTTAGCCTCCAGAGTAGCTGGGATTACAGGCGCCACCACCCCCCGTCTATGCCTGGCTAATTTTTGTATTTTGGGTAGAGATGGGGTTTCGCCATGTTGGCCAGGCTGGTCTTGAACTCCTGACATCAGGCGATCTGCCTGCCTTCGCCTCTCAAAGTGTTGGGATTACAGATGTGAACCACCACGCCCAGCCTGAGGTACCCAGTTTCTGCCCTCAGGCCCTCAAGCCTCTGTGCCATGCACCTCCACCCTCTAAGCTCCAACTTGACTCTCCTGCCATTTGGGAAACCTTGTCACATGCATTGTTATGACCCAGCATACACCTTCCTCCTCCCAGCAGAACTTCTGCAAAGTCTCAGCAAGTCAGTCTGGAAATAGCATCCCAGTAGCTCAGGGAGGGACAGGCTGTGGTGGCCTCTGCCATCCAAGTTCTGCAGAATTGTGCAGGCGATGGACTTTGGTTTTACTGCTCCTGAATATGCTGTGTCAGACTCTCCTATGAGACTGCCTGGCAGACTTGTTTATGCCCTGCCTAACAGTGTGAGTTGCAGATGTGGATATGGTCAGCTCTCCATATCCGTGGGTTCCACGTGCATTGATTCAACCAATTGCAGATTGAAAATATTTTTAAGAATCGTGTCTGTATGAAACATGTACATTTTTTTCCTTGTCATTATTCCATAAACAATATAGTATGCCAACTATTTTCATAGCATTTACTTTGCATTAGGTATCACAAGTAAACTAGAGAGGATTTAAAGTATATGAGAGGATGTGCATAGGTTATATGCAAATACCATGCCATTTTATATCAGAGACTTGAACATCTGTGAATTCTGGCATCCTTCGGGGGGCCATGAACCAATCTTCAGTGGATACTGGAGATAATTGTATTTATTTTCCTGTCTAGCAGAGAGAAAGAGATCAATACTTTCCTCACAGTTCCATCACTGCAAGTCCTACTTACTCACAATAGGATTCTGTTCACCTTGCATTTTAAATTGTCTCCCTGTGGGTCTGTTGGGGATAATAAACAGGCCCATTGCTCAGCCACACACAGTGGCTGTTCCTTGGCTATTAAGAATACCTTGCCAAGTCACTGAGCTTTCTGCTGAGAGGATTAACTTCTTAGATGAGGATCATGCTTCTTCATCTCTGCCTGAAAGAGAAAGTTGTTATTATTATTATTATTATTATTATTATTATTTTGAGATGGAGTTTCACTCTTGTTGCCCAGGCTGGAGTGCAATGGTGTGATCTTGGCTCACCACAATGTCCGCCTCTTGGGTTCAAGCGATTCTCCTGCCTCAGCCTCCCGTGTAGCTGGGGTTACAGGCATGTGCCACCATGCCTGGCTAATTTTGTATTTTTAGTAGAGACAGGGTTTCTCCATGTTGGTCAGGCTGGTCTCGAACTCCCAACCTCAGGTGATCTGCCCGCCTCGGCCTCCCAAAGTGCTGGGATTATAGGCGTGAGCCACCGCGCCCATCCAAAAAAGGTGTTTTTTCCCCTCTTTGTTATGCAAGTTATTTTAGTTTGGGTCTCCACAGCAAGCTTGAATATTTCTTTGAAATTTACCGCTTATCTTAAAATTATTGTAAACTTTTCAATCTACTCCATTATACATCTGTTTGTTATATAAGTAATGTTTTAAATTACTTTCTATTAAGCAAAATAGATTTTCTGAAAAGATATACCATATTTATCTTTTGATTCTATTATTCTCTAGCTGTGAGTTCTTCTTGGCATTGAGCTTGAGCATGAACATACGGAATTACAACCTGACTACCCACCACCCGCAACCCCAATCCTCTGGAGCAACTTTGAGAGCTTGAGCCTTTGTAAAATTGCATCTTTGGAACACACAACCATATCCAGCTCTTAGAGGGTGACAAACAGAAAAGAACTTTCCAGACAAGGTCAGGACAGTCAGAGACACTGCAATGCCCTGTGGCATATGCAACATCCATGCCTTCTTTCAACAACTTCCTTCCTGATTGGGACCTTGGCATCATGTACTCACTGGCCTCAGGTGAATCACTCATTTATTGAGTTCTCAGCTGAGTGCAGCAGCACCAGCTCCAGGTCAACCTGAATGTTATTTAGAAAGCCAGGGATAGAGATCCTGGTCTGGGTGTATGTGTGAGTCAGGACGTCCCCATGCCTCTGGATCCGGTTGATGTGCCTTACTGCCCAGCATCCATTCACTCTTCTCTCATAACCACACCCCAATATCCTTCTGGGGAACCACCCCTAATGCACTTCCATTCTATCTCCTTCAGGTGGCCTTGGCTTCTTCGGGGTGTGGAACATATGACTGAGGTCTGAGCAATCAGGATATTTCAGTTCCCAACCAGGGACTGAATATGACACAACCAGGGCAAATAAAGTAAAATCCTATTGAGCTTAAAACCTAAAAGATACACAATCTAGATCTTCTGTAGAAATCTCAGGATCAGGAAGACAGACTCTCTGAAAATAAGGCCAAAACACAGAATAGGCCATGGCTAATTGACCATGTGCTGAAGAGAAGCTGGGTCCTGGTTAACAGGGGTTGGTTGCAGCAAACTACCCTTGAACCCAATGCTACCCCTGAACTTTTCTGTTATCTTAGCTAGTAAATTACATTTTTCCAAAGGCCTAGTTGGGTTGGATTTTTGGTCTTTTGGAACCAAATGAATTCTAACTATATGTTCCATGTAAGCATGGCTCTTGCTTCCATGGGCTATGGAAGAAAATGGGGAGGGGGGAGCCTCCCAGGGCATCCAGGCTGCCTAACCAAGGATGAAAGTCCAACGCCAGGCAGTAATTCAGTCTTGTTATTCTTGTTGAGCAGGCCATGACATGTGCTCTGGATTGGTGAATACTGTAAATTTTTCTCGTTCTTGCCTTTCCCAAGTGGTGGCTTTATGGCCATTCTCTTGTTCTCTCTCCACCATGGTACATTGAATGAATTAGGGGTTGTCAAAATTATTATGAGGCATGATATTTTGCCTTGACTGACAAAATTGCATATCATCCAGAGATCTTAGGCTTGATGCTGGATTAGACTTGGATGATTTTTTTTTTGGACAAGTAGGGAGTTTATTTTAAGTAAGTACAGAAACTTGCAAGGTGTGGAAGGAAGGATGTATGTGTATGGTGTTCCAGGAAGCCAAAAGAGGGGATGTAATGGATTTCAGTTGTATTTTGCCACCCAGTCAGTATTTACTCTTATTCTGACAACTCTATGTGATTTCCCCTGGGGAGGTCACCTCATCCTGATTCCCTCAATGATACATTCATATCTAGATGTGGAACATCCAATTTGGTATCTACATGTGACCCAAAGAAAGCCAAAGATACACCGTGGGGCTTTTTCTAAACTCTCTGGGAAAGATATTCTTGCTCTTTCTAGTTGGAATTGAAGCTTAAAGAAGAGAAGATCTGGAATGACTATAGCCATCTTATGACCACAGAGAGAGAACTTACTTGAGTATAAAGCTGACCATAAGGAGGACAGCAGATCTATCTGAGCCAAAAGATGGCGTTGTGATATTTTAAATCTATGCCTTATAGTACCCGAAGTCAATTCCATCCTTAGACTTTTCAGGTAAATGAGGCCACCCTTTCCAATTTATCAAAATATATTTTCTGCTGGGTTTTCTGCCATTTTCAACTGGAAGAGTCCCATCTGATATCCTGGACAAGTACCACACTCCTGGAGATGATGTCCTGAAAGAAGAGCTTGCTCACTTGAGAGCAGGTAGTTTATTTGGAAGATAATCCCTGGAAGTAGAAATGAGGGGGTAGGGAGAGTAAGACAAGAAGGATCAACCCTTCTGGGGATGTTCTGTGTAGAATGTAACTCAAAATTGTCCCACCAGGAGAGAGGGAGCCTCTGACATTTATACACTGGCCCCTGTCCCTGTTATTTGAGGGCTGCTTTCAAAGGTCTTAACTCCAGTGTATGGATTGCAAATAACTGAAGCAAAGCTGATTACAATAGTTTTTGGGAAAGCTCTGAGCCAGCAAAGCAGAAGGACCCTGAGAAATGCACTTGGTTTGAGTCACTGGCAGCACACACACGTCACAGTTGCACAGTTGAACTAGACAAACCAAAAGGAAGGGACATGGTGTGCCACAGGCATCAGCTATAGAATCTACTTCTGATTCATCCCTTTCAAATTTCTCCAACAACAGACTTAAAATTTTTTTTTTTCTAAGAATTGAAAGACCTACTTACCTCACTTTTGGGCTTGACTATTCCAATGGAATGCTTCCACATCTTCAAACTGATATCTCTAATACCATGGTGGTGAAGCAGGCCTTCATAAGAGGACTCCCAAAAATGTACCGCTCCCAGGCCTACTTCTCAAAGATGCTGGTTTGATTAAGGTAAATATATCGGTGGGATATGAGACATTTATAAAAATCAAAAATCTTCTAGCAGTGACAACCCAAATTTGGATGAGTCCAGGGCTCAATGACCATGGAATCTGACTATCTGTATCTGAAGAAGCTGAGACAAGCCAAGACAGCCAACACTCCCATGAGATGAAGTGAGTTCTGTTCTTGAAAGACTTGCCTTCCAAATCTAATCTGTGCTACTGTAAGCTGGAAACCAGGTCAAGAGCCATCACAACAGAATGTGGGGAGGTAACTGTAGGCTTTTGGCTTAGGCTCCGTCCCTCTGGAATAATAACATGTAATGAATGTCTCTTCCCAGCAGTCTGAAAATAATCGTGTGTGCCTATGCATCAAATAATTAATCAATAAGTTAAAAATATTTTTATGGCTAACTTGACTCACAGCTGGTTTACCAATCAGATAGATTTGTTTCTATCTTGTCCTTGAGATAAGTCTGAGAGGGGAGCGGGATGAAATCTGTGCATGAAATGATGAGATCATGACTTCAATTGTATGAGCCTCAAGGCCTCTAAACTACCAGGCTGTAATTTACCTAACTCCGGGGTGTGAAAGTCTGCCTTGGGTAAATGGCCAGTGGGATAGCAGACAGGGAGTAGACTGGGTACATGTGTGCATGTGTGTGTGTGTTATTAAGGCTGGATGTTCCTCTGGGCAGACCTATCAGGCTGCCTCTTACCCAGCTGATGGTGAAGATAATGTCTCATTGGCAGCCAAGCCTTCGCAGATGTTACTGTCAAAGTAGAGATGCAGCCACTTAGTGGTATCTTCTTTCTTCCCTCCTCTTTGCTGGTTTCAATGCTTTTGCTTTTAAATGGCCTCAGTAAAAGTGAAAGCAATCACATCCTGCCATGAGAGTTGTTTTGTCTTTAGTCAAAAATACTTTGTGGTGAAGTAGAAGCACATGGCACCTCTTGTAGGATTAAGTTACTCCCTTTCTCTGTCCCTTCTGAACAGGGAGCAGGAGGAGGTCCTACTTCAGTCTAAAAGATCTCTAAACTCCCTGCCCCCAAATTTTAGACATTCATCTCACCATTTCAAGTCCTGAGAATATTCTTCTATAGCCCCCAAAGGAGCCAACATTTAGGAAGGGATTGTTTGGCCAGATAATCAGTTAATATATCCAGGGAAAGAAAAGCCTAAGCTTCAGAGTTGCAGTTCTGCTGTGATATGATGCTACTCGGCAAAATATTGATTATGGCTTGCAGAGCTTTCTGGAAGCTCCACATCTGGGATGATGCCCTGTGTTAGAGTAACTGTGACATTTTCATCTAGGACAATGGAAGACCCAGAGAGCCTCATTCCTGAATCCTCAACTCTCTTGGGAAACATCCACCAGGATTTCACGCTACTTCCTGAACCCGCGAGAGTATTCAGCAATGTCAGGCCACCTTCCAATGATGGCTTATATCATCACTGGCTTCTACCCAGTCCAGCCTCATCACCTGTAAATAAATATAAGATTCTTTTTCAAAGAGCTCTCCAGCCATCCTATTATGGCCTGCAGTTTATATTCTAGCTCTGGAAAGTTTTGTCCAAATTCTATCATGTCTTCAAATATATTCTGGAAGAGTATTTCAATAGCTCTATTAATAATAGAAATTGGACAGAATCTCTGTAACAGAAAATCTTGTGGGCCAACCAGGAATAGCTGCAGCACATTCTTCAGGGCACTAAGAAGCTGTTCGGAGCATGAGGCTCCAGAAAACAGGAGAGATGATTTAGACAGGAGAAGTTGCTGGCTTTCTTTTTTTTTTTTGTTTTTTTTTTGAGACGGAGTCTTGCTCTGTCGCCCAGGCTGGAGTGCAGTGGTACAATCTCGGCTCACTGCACGCTCTGCCTCCCGGGTTCACGCCATTCTCCTGCCTCAGCCTCTCGAATAGCTGGGACTACAGGTGCCCGCCACCATGCCCGGCTAATTTTTTGTATTTTTAACAGAGACGGGGTTTCACCGTGTTAGCCAGGATGGTCTCGATCTCCTGACCTCGTGATCCGCCCACCTCAGCCTCCCAAAGTGCTGGGATGACAGGCATGAGCCACCGTGCCCGGCCGCTGGCTTTCTTACTGGCACTTGTCAGGGACATATACCACCTGCCTACACCAGCCTTTGCTGAAAACTGTTTCCAGGGACGATTTGATGTACGGAGGCAAAATCCACACCCCTGCATCCTGCTTGACCCATTTTCTCCTGTTTTCTGGTGGTCTCCTCTATCGCTACCCTCCACTCATCCTTTTGTTCAGCTCTGTGGAACCAGAATATATATTGGAAAAACCCTCTAGCTCTGTTAGCACCGTGGTGTAGTTACGCAACAAATATTTGACTAATAAATGAAGACGTGTTTATTTGCATATTTTGGTAGACATTTATAACATTCCTAGACATCTAGTGCATTAAACAAAATGCACCTCACCTCTTGAATTTGGGGCACTGAACTAACACACAGAATTTATCTGGGATGCTGAATGATCTTTCCCGCTTAAAGCCTACTCAGGGTACGTCTCTCATCGCTCATTCCTGATCCTCCTAGAGGACACATCTCTCAAAAGCACTGGGTGACAGCACTTCACTTGGGTTGTATTTTCTTAAAAGCAATTGCATTCAGTTTTATAGGTGTCCATTTTTAGTTTTAGGTACAAGAAATACGAACTAAAAATACAAAAGGGAACCAAGCACTTCTGCCTCACCAGCGGGACAGTTTCGTAACTTTCTATGTATAAGAGAATCTAGACCAGCCTCCTTCATTACAGAAAATCACTTTCATGTAAATAGTAGTAATTTTTTTTCAGTCTTTTAATTTACCTGATAATTTCCCAGGCTGTCTCCATATCTCCTGCCTAGTGTTGGACTTGCTTTTGACTTTCATTTTCTTTGTGTTGGTATTGTTGTGCTGAAGCTGATTTCTGGATTTTCCTATCACTGTTCCCAAATTCAGACTATGGGCTGAGCAGAAAGTGGAATTACTGTTATGTTCTCTATGTCTATAAATGCTAATCTGTGGCCTCAGCTAAAGGCAGATACTGACGAGCATGTCCCCTAACAATGGATGATTTCCTACGTGGAAGAGCGTGGTATCGCTGTCTCCAGGTGCATTTGTCTGTTCTATTCAATAATATAGGTAGTCGCAACCTGCCTACAATAGAAGAGCCAAATAAGCAGTATAGGTCTTAACATATTAATTTCCAACTTAGTAATGAAGCAATTTAATTATTAGGCTCAGAGGAGGTGTTGCCAGTGTTTAGGCAAGACAGTTCTTTGATGGGATTATCTTATGCATCATGGGATGTATAGCATCCTTGGGTCGTATTCAGGTGCCTGTAATACTCCCCGTTAATGTGACCACTAAAACTGCTCCCACACCTCTCAAACACTTCACCTGGCGGAGGAGCATTGAAGGACAAAGGACTTACTTTCGGGAGCCTGCCTGGGAATTACATGGCAAATCTGTACTTAGCTTTGGGAAGAACCCTGAGGATAGACAGCAGATAAATAATGCCTTCATTGTGCACTAGAAATTACATTCTGTGTAATGTGATTTGGGCTCTAAATTGGTCAGGCTTTTGATTCAACCCTAGAATGGCTCTAAGAAATTTTTCTAATTTCATTAGAGATGCCAAATTTCATTTCAGGGCTTGACTTTGATTCTAGAGTTTATTCTAAGCTAGTCTCCTTACAGGAACTGGAAATAGACACATGGGTTGAAAATGGGGCTTCCCCCCAGACCAGGTCTGATCTGCATGGAGCTTGTGCTAGAGTCTCTGGACCCTCCTAGCCTGGCCCAATTTCCTGGAGTGGGGCACTAATATCCCTAGTTCACTTTTTGTTCCTCTGTAGGCATCCTAGTATAGGACTGCTGTATTATATGGGGGGAAGAATGATCCTGGCTTTGTTAGGATAAAAAATTTTCAAAACTAATGGAAATGTAATGCTTATGATATGTGATTATTAAAGTGAAGCATTGTTTTAGAATGCTGTTGACACAGGTCTTGGAACTGCATGTACATAAACATAGCGCTCTCATGGGTGGAAGAAATTCCAATCTAGGTTATTTTTGGAGAAAATTGTAGTTCTTTGTTTCTCCTAAAATAGAAAGGATCCCATTTCCAATGTCTTTGTGGCTGTATCATGTTAATGAGGATAGTGAAATATGTGGCCCTAGCTGTGGTTAGATAGAGTCCTCATTCCAGAGGGCTGGCAGTAAGCACACGCAGAGCTCCTTTTGAAAGGCTCCACACTCATGTATTGAGTATGTATTATGGCTAACACAGCACCAAGTGCTCACGGAATACAGAGAGGCAGGCTACGAGGTGTATTTGTTCCTTTCCCATCAGAAGTTTCAATGAGCCACATGCACACAAGGGATGTTAGGAAGCAAAGTCAGGCAGTGTAGGATCATGTGCCACCAGGAAGGTCAGTGTGGCAGTGTTCGGAGAGTCTTCTGTTGGCCATTGGCCATATCACAGTAGCTTTATCTCCAGGCCACGTTACCATAACTCCCAGGTTACTGGCTACATGCAGATTCCAGCTACTGCATCTGTAGGGGTCATTCCAACAAATGCCTCTAACAGCAGATTCAATGTTTTGAGATAAAACCTTCTACAATATAGTAAAAAAATAATAATTCAAACAAATGAGAACCTGAGCTATCCAATACCCTTACATTGTTCTGGATGGCCAAGTTTCCCAGATAGGTATGGGTCCAGTCCTTTGAGGGGTTGAGGTGAAACATTTTCTGTAATTTGTCACCCTGGGATTTCTGATTCAGGGTTTCTGGTCACTTCAATCTCAATTAAATTCAGCAAACACTTAATGAATGGCAGTTCTAGGTAATGCTGCTATGGGAAATACAAGGATTACTTAGTGAGCCTCAGGCTTTCCAGGATCACAGGCTACACCAGTGATTCTCAACCCTGGCTATCTAGTAGAATCATCTGTCAAGTTCAAAAAATATATAGATGCCTGGGTTCCATTCCAGATTAGTTGAATATGAATCTCTGAGACTGGGAACTAGATGTCACCCTTTTTTCTTTCTTTTCAAATAAACAGCTCCTTAGATGATTCCAATAGGCTTCCGGGGGTGCTGATCTAGGCAAGCACAGATCAAAACAACAACAACCTCATAAATAGTATAGAGTAAATAGAAATAAAATGTAAGATTAATTTCAAATAGGAACATTGAAGAACTTTGGAGAATGCAAGTTTGGAGCTGAGCTGGATTCATTTTTTTTTTTTTTTTTTTGAGACGGAGTCTCGCTCTGTCGCCCAGGCTGGAGTGCAGTGGCACGATCTCGGCTCACTGCAAGCTCCGCCTCCCGGGTTCAAGCCATTCTCCTGCCTCAGCCTCCCGAGCAGCTGGCATTACAGGCATGTGCCACCATGCCCGACTGCTGACATTTTTGAGTTCTTATGTCTGCCTTTCATAATTTTTTTCCAGTTTCTTTCCTATCAGTAGACTCTTAGCTGTCCTTTTCACAGTTGTAAGCGTATGTCTATAGCAGCCCATTTCTAATGTAATATTTCTAAGCATCTGCGGCTAGGAAATTTAATTTCTAAGTTTGTTGGAATTGAATGTAAATTAAGAATAAATAGGTTCTACTTCCCACCAAAGGAACTAAGACTCCTTGGAGAAATGGCTGGTTCCAGGTCTGGGGCAGGAAATGTATTTGGTGAACCCAGGGCAACTTGTTATACCAGAGAGCAAGGAAGCTATCAAGACTAATGGGGTCATGTCACAAGTACACAGTGCCAGCTGGAGTTGGCATCTCCCCCAGGCCAAAGAAGGGACAACTGGAATATCTATAAGGATAATGACAGCAGTGGGCCGAAATATATTAAATACAATAAACACCCCATGGTTTGTAATGATACCAAAACAAACAAACAATAAAAGCAAAACCACCCAAACCTCAGTGTTGAATTGGAATGCTAGAGCACTAATTCCTTATTCTGAAAATTCATAAGGAAAGGAAAGTATCAAGTGTTTGTCCTTTCTTCTACTGGCTCTTTCAGGGTAAACAAATAGCTATTGGGGGAAGATAGCTGTGTTTGCCTAGATCAGTACCCCCAGAAGCGTATTGGAATTATCTATGGAGCTGCTATTTTTTTTTAAATAGCAGATTTCTAGTTAATTACATGAAGAAGAAATTAGAAAATCACATTTTACAATCCTAATGAGCCTAGGCACAGTCATCAATAGATGCTACCTCAGCCATCTATGGATACGTCACAAACTACGTCATATGGTGGCAGTTGGGGTCACTCATGCAACCACATTCTTCTGGGAGCCCAGCCAGGGCTGGAATGTCCACAGTGGCCCCACTCTTGATATGGGGCCTTGGTGCTTGCTGTCACCACAGAGCCTCAGTTCTCCTCCAGGTGGCCTCTTAGCATTCAACAGTTTGTCCTGTGCCTGACTTCCATGAGAGCACAGGCGGAAGCCATCAAAGCTATCAGGTCTCTTAAGGACTAAACCTACAGGTGACACATCTTCACCTCTGTCACCATCTATTGGTTGAAGCAAGTCACAAAGTCAGTCTAAATTCACAGGTGTGGGGAGAATAGACTCCCACTCTTGATGGAAAATGGCTCTCCCTGGGAACAAACTACTGCTGCCTGTCTCTGGCCACAATGATTCATGTCCATTCCACATGCAAAATACAACTACCCCCTCTTACAACTGTCTCCATTTTGGCATCAGTTTGGCATCAGCTCAAAGTCCAGGATCTTGTCATCTAAATCAGGCCCTCATGTGCAGCTCCTATTGCTCTGAGACCTATGAGGTAAGAGGACAAGTTATTTCCCCATCCACATACCCAATGTGCAATGTTAAGACTGCAGTAGGCACTCCTGCTCCAAAGAGGAAAGAATGGGAAGCACCTAGCAGGCAATTCTGAATCCAGGTGGACGCGTGTCACCAGTTCCCATGATTCTGGGGCCAGAGGTGGGAGCAATTGCTGGTGGTCATCTTTGGAAACAATGCTCACAGATACTAAAGTCTTTGGGGGAACGTGGGTAGAGAACTGTATGCCGGAGAGATGAGGCAGACACCGTGTGAGTCTAATGACCGGCCTCGGCAATACTCACAGTGGGGCAACCAGAACTATGAGCATCATAAGGTGGTACAATAAGAAGTATATACATAGCATCACCTGGCCAGTATTCTTGTCTTAAAATTGACCCTGAATCTTCTCAGACATCTAGACTCTATGATTAATATACAGGACACATAAGAGCTAGAGGAACGGGTTAAATGGCGCAATGAAGCAATTAGCTAGACCCTGAATGTAGCACATCCTACAGGATGAAGGACTGTGTTCCTCAACAAATCAATACATGCAAAGCACACAGAAAGGAGCTGTTAGAGAATAAAAGAGAATTAAGAGGCATAACAATCAAATGCAATGTGTGGACCTTATGTGGATCCTGATTCAGACAAAACAACTGCAAAATCTCACCTTCGAGGCAATTAGTAAAATGTAATTGCAGTCAGGTATTAAATGATATTAGGGAATTATTGCTAATTTTATTAGGTGTGACAACAGCATGGTGATTATGGGGGGAAAAAGGTCTTTATCAGTTGGACATGCATACTAAACTATTTGTGGGTAAGATACCATAATGCTTGGGATTGGCTTTAAAATGTTCCAGGCAGGCTGGGAGTGGTCCCTCATGATTTTAATTTCAGTACTTTGGGAGGTTGAGGCAGGGAGAATCACTTGAGCCCAGGAGTTCAAGACCAGCCTTGGCAACATAGAGAGACTCTAGATGTGCAAAAAAATTAAAAACTTAGCCGGGCATTGTGGTGCATACCTGTAGTCCCATCTACTCGGGAGGCTGAGGTGGGAGAACCATCTGAGCCTGGGAGGTCAAGGCTGCAGTGAGCCGTGATGGCGCCACTGCACCCCAGCCTGGGCAACACAGTGAGACTATGTCTCGAAAAAAAAAAAATTCCAGGTAAAATAAATGGGGTAGGGTGAGGGTAGAAAGGCAAATAAATTAGGAAAATGTTGGTAATTGTTTAAGGTGGGAAATAGGTAAATGGGGGTTTCTCCACTTGCATGTGTGTGCACGTGTGTGTGTGTGTAAGAGATGAGGTCTTGCTCTGTCACCCAGGCTGGAATACAGTGGCATGGTCATGGCTCACTGCAGCGTCCAGCTCCTGGACTTAGGCAATTCTCTTGCCTCAGCCTCTGGAGTAGTTGGGACTATGGGTGGGTATCACCATGCCCAGCTTCTGTGCATGTTTGAACATTTCCACAAGAAATGTTTAAGAAAAAAAAGAATAATGGCTTCTGAATGAAAAAACTGGATTTGAGGGTCTCTTAAATAAATCAGTGAAGCACCAGCATGCTGGGGCAGCATCTTGGGTAGGCAGGAGTGCCTGTAAGGATCGGGGCCCTGGCTTTGCCTTGCTTCCTAATGCTCAGCTGGTCATGGGAGGTGGGGGCTATGGTGAAAGCAGGAAGGGAAAAGCTGTGAGTTATTTGGTGGTGAGAGAATTTACTCCTTCTTCCTGGCATTTTTTATTGAAAATAAAATAAACCATTGGTCTATATTAGACAAGTCAGTCAATCAGTCAATCAATTATTTATGGAGCTCTTGTACTTTTATTTTTTATTTTATTTTTATTTTTATTTATTTATTTTTTGAGACAAAGTTTTGCTCTTGTTGCCCAGGCTGGAGTACAATGGTGCCATCTCGGCTGACTGCAAACTCCGCCTCCCGGGTTCAAGCGATTCTCCTGCCTCAGCCTTCTGGGTAGCTGGGATTGCAGACATGTGCCACCATGCCCGGCTAATCTCGTATTTTTAGTAGACGTGGGGTTTCTCCATGTTGGGCAGGCTGGTCTCAAACTCCCGACCTCAAGTGATCCATCCGCCTCGGCCTCCCAAAGTGCTGGGATTACAGGTGTGAGCCACCACGCCCGGCAGCTCTTGTACTTTTAAAAAGTTAATATTTGTTATCTAAAAGTGACACATGTACATAGTTATGAAAAGTCAAATAGGTCTACACAATCTACAACGAAAAGAACAGCTCCTTCTCCCCCTTCCTTCCCTGAATTTCTTCTCACCAGAGCTGCTACTTCCAATCTTTTTAGTTCTTTTTCATGACGCTTCTTTTTGTCTGTCAAAATAACTGGCTTGGCTGGGTGCCGTGGCTCATGCCTGTAATCCCAGCACTTTGGAAGGCCGAGGCAGGGGATCACATGAACTTAGGATTTCGAGACCAGCCTGGCCAACATGGTGAAACCCTGTCTCTACTACACTAAAAAATACAAAAAATTAGCAGGGCATGGTGGCGCACACCTATAGTCCCAGCTACTCAAGAGGCTGAGGCAGGAGAATTGCTTGAACCCAGGAGGCTGAGGTTGCAGTGAGCTGAGATGGCACCACTGCACCCCAGCCTGGGCAACAGAGCGAGACTCTGTCACTAAAACAAACAAACAAACAAATGAAAAACCCGGGCTTATTGTATTTTTCTCTTTTATTTTTCAACTTTAGATATAATCTATTGGCTTCTGAGTGAAGAAAGTAGGAGTTAGCCCTGTCATGTCACCCTCCACACATACAAACTAGCTTCTCTTTCTATTTTCCTAATAGCTTCATTGTTTTTGTTAAATCAATATTCAGTGTTTGCTCTATGAGAAGCAAGCAAATATACATATTCTGAGTTCACTACCCAGCCAAGTGGTGAACTCAGATTCTATTTTGTTTCTTGTGTAATTTTTGGTTTCTCAGATGCTAATAGTTGTTTTATTTCTTCTTCTGTTCATTTGCTTGGTTTCATAGGTTCCTAAGGCTTCAAATTCCCTGCTGGAGCTGTGCAAGCCTAGTGTGTTCTCAGCATGCTTAAGCACTTCAGGTAATTATGGGTTGCATTTTCTTCCCCTTGGAGACACCCCTCTTTATCCTCCAGCTCCAAAATGAGTGGGTCACTCCCCAGGCCCTCTTCCCAGATGCCCGCTGGAGCTTCCTTTCACCTCTTTCCTTTGCTGGATTCCTGCTTCTTGGATCCCAGGCTCTTTCCTGAGTTTTGGTGGGGCCCATATTCTTGCTGTTTCTTGGGAGAGAGCACAGAGAGGGGACTGATGAATATTACATTTGTGGTACATGTCAGAGAAGATGAAGACTCCATTGTCACAAGGTGGGTTCCTTGATGGAGATGAGTGTATGGGAGTTTACTAGGGATGTTCTTGGGATCACCGCTCTGGAAGGGAAGGAGTCAGAATTGAGTGAAGGCAGAAGCTGAGCTGAGCTGCCATCTCAGTGATCCTCTAGGTTTTTCTGGACCTGGGATGGGCCTTCAGAGTTGTCCCTAATTGGGGCAAGGGGCTGGGCCTTTATATGCATATAAGAATCAATCACTGGATTTGGGGCACTCTGGGAAGTGGTGTGACCTCACACAAAGCACCTCTCTTCAGCAGAGGGAATCACTGTGTGGGCTGGAGGGGTCTGGGCAGCACGTCACAGCATCCGCCACAGTCCGCTCCCAGGCTGCTTGCATGCACTTTCTTGTATAAGGATTGGGTGCAGTTCCTCCAGGATTCCAAAGGGCCTCTGGGAAATTTAGAAGATGGAAGTCAGTGGAATAAACTGCAGCTCTTGCCTTTGACACTGTTCTAATGTTCATTGACATCTTCCTCTACTCTCCTCTTGAGATTCCTCCTTTAAGCTAGGACCTTTGCTGGTCTCTGTGGCTTAATTGGGGCCATGACCCAGCCCTTTATCCTTGAGGATCTGAACTTCTGGTCACCGTGCCTTTCTTAGGCTGTAGCTGCCGCATTTGTTCATATAAGTAAAAAAAATCAAGAGAGGATCAAGATGTCCAAGCAGATAGATTTATTTATTCCTGATCCTATTGTATCATTATGGCCAAACCTCCTGACAATCAGGATTAATATCCCCTGCCAGGATGGTCACCCCTCTTCACACCTGCCAATCTTTTGGAAGGAGGGGGTCTAACAGGCCCAGTTTTCAATCATAGCTTGGAGTTTAATGGGACTTGCTGTGTCCACTGGGAGAACATTTCCCCCTTTGGGATCCTCTAAACTTGCAGAGCCCAGAGGTGCAGGGATAGGAGGAGCAAATTCCCCAGGTGGGAGTGATGGTAAATAAGGAAACCCCGCTTCTGCCCTTTGGTTCTTGGATCTATGTATTCTTTCAGTTGAAAATGCAGCACCATATATATGTCACTTGTTTAAAGTGTACACTGCAGCCGAGAGGATGCCACTCAGCCTCATGAGATATTACCTCCAAGCTAGCACGTCAGTTTTGTCTTCCACATGCCATAGCATTCCTCTCTTAGGTCAGCAGCTTCTCAGAGGGACAGTTCAAACTTTGGCCAGTGGATTCCACAGCCATGTGCTCACTCCACACACCTTTGCTATAAAGTGGATCCCTTTTTCTTATAAGATCCCTTTTTCTTATGTGGACTCCTATGCTGCTGGATGTAACCATCTGTTAGCTCTTGGGCCGTGGTGTTGACTGAGTGCCTCCGAGCAGAAAAGACTGTCCCATATCCATAATATTTTCTGTTCCTGCTAAAATGAATCATTGTCCCTTCTTGGGCAGAAGGGATCCAGTAGTAAACACACTGTGTAGAGGCTGGTTAGTCACCTTGAGGGATAGCACCACATCAGGGGGCTCAGCATTGGTCTCTGTGCTGCTGCTGGCAGGTCTGCCATTCAGTATGGCAAAAGCTAGATCTACTTGGTACGTGGAAGCCTGTGCCATTGGGCATGTGCTTAGCCTCCACCCCTGCCACTCTGCTCATGTGCCCATTTTGCTTATCCAGTTCGTTTAGCATGATGTCATCGATATGGTGGACCAGAGTGCTGTTCTGCAGGATGCCTACCTGGTCCTGGTTTCCTCGGACTTTATTGTGACAGGACATGGGAGCATTAACATAGCCTTGTACCAAGGCCATAAATGTAACATGGTTCACTCTTCCAAATGAATGTGTTTTAGTCCATTTTCTGTTGCTTATAACAGAATACCTGAAACTGAGTAGTTTACAAAGAAAAGAAGTCTATTTCTTACAGTTCCAGAGGCTGAGAAGACGAAAGTCGAGGGGTGACGTCTGGTGAGGGCCTTCTTGCTGGTGGGGATTCTCTGCAGTGTCCTGAGGTGGTGCAGGGTATCACATGGTGAGGGGGCTGAGCAGGCTGGCTCAGGTGTCTCTTCCTCTTCTGATAAAGCCACCGGTTCCATCCCCATGATAACCCAGTAAACCATCAGCTTATCAGTCCATTCATTTATGTATAGGTTAATCCATTTAAATGAGGCAGAGCCCTTATAACCCAATCACTTCTTAAAGGCCCCACCTCAATACTGCCCCATTGGGGATTAAATTTCAACATAAGCTTTGGAGGGGACAAATAGTCAAACCGTAGCCATCTGTTTCTAAGCCTTTTTTTTTTTTTTTTTTTTTTTGAGATGGAGTCTTGCTCTGTCTCCCAGGCTGGAGTACAGTGGCATGATCTCTGCTCACTGCAACCTCCACATCCCAGGTTCAATTGATTCTCCTGCCTCAGCCTTCTGAGTAGCTGGGATTACAGATGTGCAACACCATGCCCAACTAATTTTTGTATTTTTAGTAGAGACAGCATTTCACCATGCTGGCTAGGGTGGTCTCGAACTCCTGACCTCAGGTGATCCTCCTCAGCCTCCTAGAGTGCTGGGATTACAGTCATGAGCCACCACGCCTGGCCTAAGCCTATTTTTTTTGATGAGGATAGAGGAGAATGCATCTGCCAGGTGAAAGGCCACATGTCATGACCTGAGGCCACGTTACATCTGCTTAAAGACCCTTTGGGTCTTTTAAGACTGGCAATAGTCTCAGCCATTCTCCCTGGGGTACATTATTGTTGTCTGGGGAGGGGCAGTTTCTAAAGCTTCTACTTTGCCTTCCCTACTAGGAGAGCTCTCACCCCATAGACCAAGGAACAGATGGAAGAGACTACCGGGTAAGCCTATTGCAATTATACACTCAGATATCGGGCAAATGACCCCTGAATGGGTCCTGGAAACCAGTGCACTACTGCGAGCCAGGCCAAAGCTTCACGTGTGTCCCTCTCTAACAGTGAGTGGGCATGATGCCACCTTGGGTTACTGGGTATCAACATCAACTTGGACCCTGAAAGAAACAGTCTTGGGATGTTTGATCATTCCCCTTTCTCTAGTGTCCATTTACCTGAGTAAATGGCTGCAGGTCCCTCTGGAAGAACTGGGAGACTCATTACCATGTATACTTCCTATGATTGCTCAGCATTCTTCTCCCTTTGGACTCAGGCTTTCTATTCATCAATGGGTCCTGGGTCTAAAAATTGTCTTAGGTCTAGAAACAGAAAAATTGATCATGACTGTTTTGGGGGCAACTGTCCTCAGCCTCCAACTCATCCATCCTTGATTTCTTTTGTTTGTGCAGAGTGAGTTGTGTCCTGTGGCTGCCCATCTACTTGGCTTCTAGGGACACTGTGTCCTATTAATTCTTTCTCTAACTCTCTGTGGGTCGTGGTCCCTGGCTGCCCTTCTGACCTGCCACTCACTGTGATCATTGCATCCGCGTGGCTTTGGACAGTGACATGCCACCACCTGGCCTCTGTTTGGTGCAGGGGGAACTCACCACCCCTTTCCTACCAGTGACCCAGTTCTGTGTCAGCATGTCCTCAGCACCACCATTGATCTCCAGAGGGCCATGGAGCATATTGCCCCAGCAAGATCCTTAGTGCTTGGAGAACGGTGTGTCCTCTGGGATTCTCCCATAACAGAGTTCACCCCAGCACACCCATTTCTCTGAGCTTTTCATTCCCCCTGGCCGCCATCTGCCATGGAGTCTCTGCCATTTCTACCTCACTCACTGTGGACCATTGCTTTTTTCATTGCTTCCAGGGTGTGTGTGCACCATCTCCTGGATTCTTGGCAGTATGTTAAATCCTGTATCCCAGAAGGGGGCTCCCAAACAAATAAACCCTCATCCAGCCTTGAGTTCTGACTCCCCGGATAATGCACCCTCAGAGTTCAGCCTCAGTGGTTCTCCCACCTTCTGATACTACTTGAAGGTGAGGTACTGCTGCTCCTCGTTGGTACAATTTCTTTCCATTTTCAGCAGACCCAGCACATCCCCAGCCCTGTGAGACAGAGACTTAACCCTGCTTCTTGGCTCAGTGGCAAGAAGGGGAAATGGGACTGACTCTCAGTGGGAAAGGGGAGGCACGTTATCTTGTGGAAAGAAGCCCTTGTGTAGTTTTCAAGCACGTGGGGAGTGCCAGCCCTTAGCAGAGAGAGGTGAGCCACTCTGAGGGCTCAGAGGCTTTAGGGAAATCTGGAGATGTGAGAGTTTTGGGTGCATCAACTCAGATGTCCTCATCTCATGTATCAGGGTCCTGTCGTTTCTCAGACCGTGCCCCGACCTTGATGGAGGTGACCTGCCTTGGTGCTCAATCTTCTGTTGAGCTCCGTTACTATTCTAATGTGAACCCCAAGTCTAGTTTAGCTTTCTCTGCCCCTCCACTACAGGAGAGGAGAATATATTTTGGCCTTGTTTTCCTTTTAACATGTTTATTGTGATATAATTCACAAACCACACATTCACTTATTTAAAGTGTACAATTTAATGTTTTTTAGTATAGTCCCAGGATTGCGCAATCATCACTACAATTTAATTTAAAAACATTTTCATCCACATTAAAAGAAATCCCATACCCATTAACAGTCATTCCCTGTTCACTCCTTCCCCTACTCTCTGGCAACCACGGATCACTTCCTACCATGTAGATTTGCCTATTCTGGACATTTTATGCCAATGGGATCATATAATATTTGGTTCTTTGTGACTCTCTTCTTTAATTGAACATAATGCTTTCAAGTTTTATCCATGTTGTAGCATGTATCAATACTTCATTTCTTTTTATTGTCAAATAGCATTCCATTGAATGAATATATCACAGTTTGCTTATTCATTCATCAGTTGGTGTACATTTGATTCCACTTTTCGGCTATTAGTGAATGACACTGCCACAAACATTCATGTACAAGTTTTTGTGTAGACATACATTTTTCATTTCTCTTGGGCATATACCAAGAAGTGGAATTGTTGGATCATATGATAGCTCTATGTTTAGCATTTTAAAGAACTGCCAAACTGTTTTTCAAAGCAGCAACCCACAGGCAAAAGCTGGAAGAATTCCCCTTGAGGACTGGAACAAGACAAGGATGACCACTCTCACCAGTACTATTCAACATAGTACTTGAAGTCTTAGAGCAATCAGGCAAGAGAAAGAAATAAAAGCATCCAAATAGGAAGAGGAGAAGTCAAGCTATCTCTCCTCATTGATGATACGATTCTATACCTAGAAAACCCTAGAGACTCCGCCAAAAGGCTCTTAGAACTGATAAACAACTTCAGTAAAGTTTCAGGATACAAAAATCATTGTACAAAACTCAGTTGCATTTCTATACTAATAACATTCAAGCTTAAAGCCAAATTGAGAATGCAATCCCATTTACAACAGCTGCAGAAAAATAATAAAATATCTAGGAATACATTTAACAGGGAGGTTAAAGTGTTATACAAGGACAAACACAAAACACTGCTGAAAGAAATCGTAGATGATACAAATGAAAAAACATTCCACACTCATGGTTTGGAAGAATTCATATCATAAAAATAGCCATACTGCTCTAAGCAATTTACAGGTTCAGTGCTATTCCTATCAAACTACAGGCATCATTTTTCACAAAACTAGAAAAAACTATTCTAAAATTCACATGGAACCAAAAAAAAAGCCTGAATAGCCAAAGCAATTTTAAGCAAAAGAACAAAGCCAGAGGCGTCACACTCCCTGACTTCAAACTATATTATGAGGCTATAGTAATCAAAACAGTATAGTACAAATGGACATGTAGACCAATGGAACAGAATAGAGAACCCAGAAATAAAGCCACGTACCCATAGCCATCTGATGTTTGACAAAATCAACAAAAAGAAGCAATGAGGAAAGGACTTCCTATTCAATAAATGGTACTGGGATAGCTGGCTAGCCATATGCAGAAGAATGAAACTGGACCCCTACTTTTCACCATTTACAAAAATTAACTGAAGATGAATTAAATATTTACATATAAGACCTCAAACTATAAGAATCCTAGAAGAAAACCTAGGAAACACCATTCTGGACATCAGCCTTAGGAAATAACTTACAACTAAGTCCTCAAAAGCAATTGAAACACAACCAAAAATTGACAAATAGGATGTAATTAAACTAAAGAGCTTCTGCACAGCAAAAGAAACTATCAAAGAATAAACAGGCTGGGCGTGGTGTTTCCTGCCTGTAATCCCAGCATTTTGGGAGGCCAAAATGGGTGGATCACTTGAGGTCAGGAGTACAAGACCAGCCCCTGGCCAACATGGTGAAACCCCATCTGTACTAAAAGTACAAAAATCAGCTGGGCATGGTGGCAGATGCCTGTAGTCCCAGCTACTTGGGAGGCTGAGGCAGGAGAATTGCTTGAACCCAAGAGGTGGAGGTTGCAGTGACCTGAGATTGTGCCACTGCACTCCAGCCTGGGCAACAGTGTGATTCCATCAAAAAAAAAAAAAAAGGGTAAAACAGACAACCTACAGAATGGGAGAAAATATTTGCAAACTATGCATCTGACAAAGGTCTTACATCCAGAATCTATAAGGAACTTAAACAATTGATCAAGCAAAAACCAAATAACCCCACTTAAAAATGGGCAAAAGACATGGACAGACACTTCTCAAAAGAAGACATACAAGCAGCCAACAAACATATTTAAAAATGCTCATCACTAATCATCAGAGAAATGCAAATCAAAACCACAATGAGATACCATCTCTTACCACTCAGAGTGGCTATTACTAAAAAATAAAAAGATAACAGATGCTGGTGAGGCTGTAGAGAAACAGGAACACTTAATACACTGTTGGTGGGAATGCACATTAGTTCCGCCACTGTGGAAAAAGCAGTTTGGAGATTTCTCAAAGAACTTAAAACATAAACCACTTGAAACTTAAACATAAACCATTTAATCATTTAAAACTTAAACTATTTGACCCAGCAATCCCATTACTGGGTATATATCCAAAGGAAAATAAATCATTCTACCAAAAAGACACATACAATCACATGTTCATTGCAGCACTATTCACAATAGCAAAGATGGAATTAACCTAGGAGTCCATCAATGGTGGACTGGATAAAGAAAATGTGGTACATATACACCGTGGAATACTATGCAGCCATAAAAAATAATGAAATTCATTAAAAAGAATGAAATCATGTCCTTTGCAGAAACATGGATGCTGTTAGAGGCCATGATCCTAAAGGAATTTAATGCAGGCACAGAAAACCAAATACTGCCTGTTCTCACTTATAAATTGAAGCTAAACATTGGGTATGCATGGACATAAAGATAGCAACAGGCCAGGTGAGGTGGCTCATGCCTGCAATCCCAGAACTTTGGAAGGCCAAGGTGGGAGGATTCCTTGAACTCAGGAGTTCAAGACCAGGCTGGACAAGATAGCAAGACGCCATCTCTACAAAAAATAAAAAATTAGCTAGGCATGGTAGTTCACACCTGTGGTCCCAGCTACTAAGGAGGCTGAGGTGGGAAGATCGCTTGAGCCCAAGAGGCTGAGTCTGCAGTGAGCTGCAATTGCAGCACTGCATTTTAGCATGGATGAGAAAGTGAGACTCTGTCTCAAAAAAAAAAAAAAAAAAAAAAGATGGAAACAAATAGGCTACTAGAGAAAGAAGGGAGAGAGGAGGGCAAGGGTTGAAAAACTAACTATTGGGTACTGTGCTCCGTACCTGGGTGATGGGATCAATTGTACCCCAAACCTCAGCATCATGCAATATACCCAGGTAGCAAACCTGCACATGTACCCTCTGAATCTAAAATAAAAGTTGGAAGAAAAAAACTTCAAAGCAGCAGCCCTATTTAACATTCTCCCCAGCGTGTATGAGGGCTCCAATCCCTCCACATCCTCACCGACGCTTGTTATTGTCTGTCTTTTTGAGTACAGTCTCCTAGCAAGTGTGATGTGGTCTCTCATTGTGGTTTTGATTTGCATTTCTCTAATAACTAATGATATTGAGCATCTTTTCATGTGTACATTGACCAGGCCATTTGTATATCTTTTTTTTTGGAGAAATGTCTATTCGAATCCTTTGGTCATTTCAAATTTGGGCTGTTTTCTATTATTCAGTTGTAAGAGTTTTTATGTACACATAGAAGTTTTTAGATACAAGTCTCTTATCAGATATATGATTTGCAATTTTTTTTCTCATCCTATGGGTTGCTTTTTCACTTTCTCAATGGAGTCATTTGGTATGCAGAAGGTTTTAATTTTGATGAAGCCCAATTTATCTATTTTTTTCTTTTGTCATTTGTGCTTTTGATGTCATATCTAAGAAGCCATTGCCTACTAAATTTATGTTTTCTCTGAGAGTTTTGTAGTTTTAGATCTTACATTTAGGTCTGTGTTGCATTTTGCCTTAATTTTTGTATATGGTGTGGGGCAAGAGTCCCACTTGGTTCATTTGAATGTGGATTTCCAGTTGTCCGGCACCATTTGCTGAAAAGACTATTGTTGCACCATGTAACTGTCTTGGTCACACTTAACTTTTATTGGCCAGTTTTATCATTTTCAGCTTTTCATTATCTTTTTTTCCAGAATTGAACTGACCTTGGGAATAACCATCCGATTCCATTGTCCTTATAGTTACGATTTCATCCAAATTTCTTAAACAATATCAATGCAAAAATTCTAAAATATTAGCAAAGGGTATTCAGCAGCACATTAAAGAGAATACAACCAATTCAGGATCATAGGAATGCAATTTATCATGTACTTAAAAAATTCTGATTAGTATTTTTGTTGAAATTATAGTAAGCTCTTTTTATTTTTTTTGAGATGGAGTCTTGCTCTGTTGCCCAGGCTGGACTGTAGTGGTGCGATCTCAGCTCACTGCAACCTCCGCCTCCTGGGTTCAAGCAATTTTCCCTGCCTCAGCCTCCCGAGTAGCTGGGATTACAGGTCACCCCAGCTACTTTTTTGTATTTTTAGTAGAGACGGGGTTTTGCCATTTTGGCCACCACACCCAGCTAATTTTTTGTATTTTTAGTAGAGACGGGGTTTTGCCATTTTGGCCAGGCTTGTCTTGAACTCCTGACCTCAGGTGATCCACCTGCCTCGGCCTCCCAAAGTGCTAGGATTACAGGTGTGAACCACTGTGCCCAGCCGAAATTATAGTAACTGTATAGATTCATTTGGGGATAATTGATATTTAATAAAATTAGGGCTTCTTGTTCCAAAACAGTGTATCTTTTCTCATCTGTTCAAATCTTACTTGACAAATTTTGCTTATATATATCTAATATCTTTGACATTACTAATTTAGATCCAAAACTATAAAACTATAGATGAAAAGAAAAGAGTAAACCTTTTGAACTTGGCTTAGGCAATGGTTTTTTATTTCATGTTTAATTATAGACATGTATATATTCTGAGAAATGTGATTTTGTCATTGTGGGAGCATCTTAGAGTGTACTCACACAAACCTAGATGGTACAGCCTATTACTTTCCTAGGCTGTATGGTATAGCCTATTGCTCCTAGGCTATAAACCTGTACAGCATGTGACTATACTGAAGACTGTAAGCAATGGGAACACAACATTAAGTGTTTGTGTATGTAAACATATCTAAACATAGAAAAGGTAGGATAAAAATATGGTATTAAAATCTTATGGGACCACCATTGTATATGTGGCCCATTATCAGCCGAAATGCCATTATGTGGTGTATAACTGTATTGGAAAATAGAATTTTCTTCCGACTTTTTCTGGACTGGTCTCTTTGTATGTAATTAGCCACCTTCTGTAATATTTTTGTGTTGTTTGTTATATGTTTCAATTGATTTGCTCCTGTTTTATAGCAAGATCATATCATGCGTGATTACATTAATAGACTTCCTGATACTAATTTTTTTTCCATCAATATTCCTATGTGTGATTGGCCTGGAGTTTTCTTCTATTATCTTAAACAGATTTTTATATGAATGCAGGGAAACTTCATTTACAAAAAAGAATTGGGATGTTGTCTTATTTGTACTTGCTCCAAAAAGTTTAAATAGGTTTGGGGGTTATTTAATCCTTACAGATTTAGGTCTCTGTGAGGCCATCTGAGCTTTTCTGGGTGTGTATATGTGTGTGCACACACCCCAGTTTGGTTAGCTCTTTGACAGATGTCTTAATTCCTCTTACGGTAATTAGTCTGTCATTTTTTTCTCTTCTGAGGTTGGTTTCACAATTTACACTTTCCTAGAAAAATCACCTATTAGAAATGTGCATGCACTGAGTCGAGCACACACCTGCACTGGCCTTCACTGGTATGCCACCACGTGCGCCTCTGGTGAAAGCTTCACTGACTTAGTGGCTATCTTGGACCCGGGACGATCTGTGCTCCTCCTGCTGCTACCTACAGTGGGGTCCTCATTGGCAGCTGGGCAGGAGGTGATCCAGCTCCAAATTCCCATCTCAGCATCAATGTTTTTTGGTTATCAGACCCTCCTTTAAATGCACGGGAGTCAGTATACCTTTAAAATAACACCGGCTGGTGCTGCTTCTTCTCTCCCCCTCATTTGGCTTCCTTAGAGTGGAAGCAGGGCGGGAGCCTTAGACAGTGTAAGATGGCTCTAGTTTACCTGATTAGTCCTGTGAGCTGGCACAGGTTCTCCCCGGGGTCTGTATTTGGGGGTGGTGGGGGCAGTAGAGCTGATCATCTCATCTCACTCTGGACACGCTTGGGAACTATGCAGGAGGTAGAAATCCTAAGACTGAGCTCATCATGGCAATCCCATTCTCCTCGTAGGTGGCTGGTTCAAGGGAGGGCATGTATCCCTATTCTGGCCAATGGGACTTGAGAAGATGTCCTTGGGGCGACTTCTGCACAATGATCAGCAGCCCCTGTTCTGTCTACACAATGTGTCAGTGGTTGCTACAGCCATCTTGCAGCCAGTCTCAGGATGAAACCAACACATGAAGCCATGAAAATCACAGAAATGAGCTGACGTCCTGATGGGCCTAGAGCTGCCCTCCTTGGGTGCTTCTTATGTGACATATTAAGCCCCTTATTAGTTGTATCAATGCCAATTAGGATTTTCTACCACTTGCAGCTGAAGACATCCTAAGGACTATACTTGTAAGTGGATTCTAAGTGCAGCTATTTCTGTTTCAGATTCAGCTAGGTCACCACTATAGCAGATGCCCACTTCTCTGACCCGCCGAAGGAAGATCGCTATGTGGGAATTGTAAAAGAGATTTCCAAAAAGCAGTTTTGTAACTTTTGGCCACGTGTCTATCCAAGAGTATCAAAGAGTTGAGGCAGTTATCCAGGAGGTCTGAAATCACAGAAGGTGTTTGGAGAGCGTGCTTAGCACTCTGTGACTTCTGCTCACACTTCGTGGGGAAGGGATGGAGATGCCTCCTCCCTTTCCCTCACTTCCAGGCCAGGGAGGGGAGCTTTAATGGGATCTCAAGGAGCTAGACATTTAATTCACAGAGCCGAAGGGGCATGGTGGACTGATGTTTTATTCATGCCTAAAAATTCTAAAGGGTATGAGAATGTGATTGTGGATGGCCTGGACTCATGGACAGAGTTCCACAGAGCAGGTATGTACCTGGCCTTGTGATAGCTCCTGTGGGGTTACTTTAGATGCTGCCTCATATGGGCTGAATTGTGCTCCCTCCATCACTAAATTCATGCGTCGAAGCCCTAAACCCTAGAACTTCAGAATGTGACTGTTTGGAGATAGGGTCTTTAAAGAGGTAATTAGGTTAAAAAGAGGTCATTAGGGTGGGTCATAATTTAATATGACTGGTGTCCTTACAACAAGAGGGAAATCAGGACACAGAAATGTGCATGCACAGTGGGAAGACCATGTGAAGACATGGAAAGAAGACAAGCTAAGGTGTATTAGCTTGGGCTGCAATAACAGAATAGCACAGACTGCATGACTTCAACAACAGAAGTGTATTTTCTCACAGTTCTGGAGGCTGGAAGTCCAAGATCAAGGTGACAGCTGAGTTGGTTTCTGGTGAGATATCTCCTCCTGTCCTGCAGATGACTGCCTTCTCACTGTGTCCTCATTTGGCCTTTTCTCTTTGTTGTGTGGAGATAGAGAGAGCCCTGGTGTCTCTTCCTCTTCTTATAAGGAAACCAGTCTTATTGGATTAGGGCCCCATACATATAACCTTGTTTAGCCTTAATTACCTCCACAAAGGGCCTGTCTCCAAACACAGTCACATTGCGGGTTAGAGCTGCAACCTATGAATTTTGAAGGGGTAAAATTCAGTCCAAGGCTCAGCCTGGTGGCTCACATTTGTAATCCCAGCACTTTGGGAGGCCTAGGCAAGAGGATCCCTTGAGGCCAGGAGTTCAAGACCAGCCTTGACAACAGAGCAAGACCCTATCTCTCCAAAAAAAAAAAAAAAAAAAAAAAAAAAAAAAAGTTTCTTTGTGTCTGGTTAATTAATTTAAAAATAAAATGAAAAAAATGTAGCCGGGTGTGCTGGCACAGTTGTAGTCCCAGCTACTCGGGAAGCTGAGATGGGAGGATCGCTTCAGCCCAGGAGCTAGAGGCTGCAGTGAGCTATGATTGCACCACTGCACTCCAGCCTGGGCAACAGAGCAAGACTCTATCTCTAAACAAAAACACAAACACAAAAACAAAACATAGAAGAAAACACCAATGCAGTATCACAGAAGGTAAGAGTAGGGCACATTTTTATGCTACCCCGAGGCAGGGATTCTCAAATGTGGACATGGCTAACATTTGGGGAGATTATTCTTTGTGCTGGGGGCAGCTCTGCGTTGTAGGATGTTTAGCAGCTTCCCTGGCCTCTTCCCACTAGACGCCGTAGCACACTCCACTCTACCCAGTTATAACAACCAACTATATCTCTGGACATTACCAAATGTCCTCCTGGGGGCAGAATTGCCCCTGGTTGACAGCCACTGTTTTAAGGAGGCAGAGGTTAAGAAACAGAGGTTTGGGCTTTACTTTTAACTCCATGTTTTTGCAGTGTGTCAATTTTTTGCAGAATACAAGTATTTCTTCTGTTTAAAAAATTAGGAAAAAAAGGAGTAATAATTTGGTCAAATGCTGTAAGCATTTGCAGGTGGCCCAGAGGTGCTGTTGGTGACCTGTGGCATGTTCAGAGGTATGGTGGGGAGATGACACCAGGTGACCAGGATTCAAAAGGGCCGGGAGAGAGAGGAAGCTGAGGTGGTGGAGGCCCAGCATTCGACAAGGAGAGAGGCGAGGAAAAAGCAGAAATAAATGAGTGATCATAAAGCTTCTCAAATACTACCATTTTCCCTAATTTTAAAATCCCAAAGAAAGGCTTTTCTCAATTTGCTTTATATAAGACAATTTTGGAAACATCTGAAGTTTGGCAGCAATTCCAGGAGAATTTGGCTCTGCAAATCCCAGTAGCTAATTGTACTACTGTTTGCCAGGGCCACAGACTAGGGTCGTTACACAGGACTTTATTTCTTCCCCGTTCCGGAGGCTGGAAGTCCAAGATCCAGGTGCCGGGAGGCTGGAAGTCCAAGATCCAGGTGCCGGGAGGCTGGAAGTCCAAGATCCAGGTGCTGGCAGGGTTGGTTCCTCCTGGGGCCACTCTCCTGAGCTGTAGATGCCATCTTCTCCCTGTGTCCCCACCTGGTCCTCCCTCTGTGTGTCTCCGGGTCCTAATTTCCTTTTCTTATAAGGACACCAGTGAGATTAGATTAAGTCCCACCCTAATGGCCTCACTTTCACTTAATTACCTCTTTTAGGGCTCCATCTTCAAATAGAGTCAAATTCTGAGGCACTGAAGGTTAAGATTTCAGCATATGAATTTTGGGGGGACATAATTCAGCCAATTGCACTAGTGACCATCTCAGGGGTCTGTAGAGCCAGCTGGTTCCCTACAACCAGTGCTCCCCATCTCCATTACAGGAGCCACTGCAGGTAGCCCCAGGTCATGGTGGCCACCACGGACCACTGCCTTCAGCACCCTCCCTCCCTCCTCCATCTCTTCTGTCATCCCCCACAGTGACACACACATTACTCTCGTGGATCCTAAATGTGAATCGACTGCTCCTCATTCATCCTGGGTGTACCCAACATCTTCGAGTCATCTCAGGGCCACTCCTATTTGTTGCTTCGATCTTTGGCTACTTGAACTTAAAGGGGTCAAATAAACAGACTTCAAAGCCATGGTGCATATAATAACGTTTGGAATTCAGGATGTAGACAGGGAACCTCCCTAAATGTCACAATTCTCTTAGCCCTATAGTAAGGCATGCCCCACATTAGAAAATAACAGCTCAGAGGAGGTTTTTCCCTGGGGATAGCTATGTCTCTAGGAAAATGTCCCATTCACGATGAGTCACCGCTGAGAGAGCATCAGCTCATGTTTTTGGTAATTTACTAATAAAATGGTATCTCTATTAAATACATATATAGAAAGGTAAAAATAGATTGAGCATTTTCTAAATAGCTCTGGCTCAAGGTAAGGTGGTGAAGGAGTTGTTAGTTCTTTTGGAGCAAAATAAAGCTGCTCTTCCTTCATCCCCAACCACACTTCAACTTCATCCTAGGACAAACAAGAAATCCTCCAAAGAAAGAAAATGAAAATGCTGTTCTTGACTGGATTGCTTCAGAAATATGCTTGGACTTGAGAGTTCCAGCTTTTCTGGGATTCATTCTTACAGAGTCTAACCCTTGTGGTTTTTTGGTAGGAGGCAATTTCTGTGCTGGTTATGATTTGAAGGAGCTGGCCCACAGCTCAACCTTGCTTAAATTGGAACAAGATGTCACCAGTGGTCTTGCTCCCATAGTAGGTACTAGAAAATAGATTCTTGATGGATGAATTTGAGGCCATTCCGGGAGACTCTTGTTAGTTTCCATGACTAGAAATGACACCACCATTCTGTCATTGCGTTTCAAGTGCCTTGTACCACGCAGGGAGTGTGAGTTGTAGTGGGTGGTTTTTTTTTTCTTTTCAATTTTTTTTTATTTCAAGCAATGAAGGTAATGGCAAAGAATTTTTCATAAAAACAAGTGACAAATTTCACTCGAGTTACTGACACATAGAAGGAAAAAATTAGTTTTTGCTTTGAAGCTAACCAGAAACAAATGGGACTGTTTCTCCAAAGGAAAAGTTGGAGTTTAGTTATGATACATCCCCTCCCAGAAATCTAGGAAATTATACATACTGTACCCTCTGTTTATAAGAATATGAATAACATGATTGTGTGCACAGGGTCAATTGCAGTTCAGATGAGAATTTACCGCTGCTGAGCTGCAAATGGATAAAGACAGAGAGAGCTGCTGTTAACCCCTTATTAACACAGCCCAAATGCCTTTCTTTAAAGGAAAACTTAGACCAAAAGCTCCTTGAGGCCAGGAAAGATGTCTTCAATATCTTTAGATATTTCCCCACCTCCAGTGCGGGTCCCGGTGGTTGGCACACAGTAGCTGTTCAAGTGAATGAACGAATCACTTTTGATCAAAAGAAGAAGCAGGGCTTGTTTTTCAAATTGAGAAATGGGAGTGGTTGTATTGTAGCTGCATTGTTGAGTCTCCTGTGTGCCACGTGATCCAGCAGGAGAATCATAACCGGGCTGAGCCCACTCTCTCCCATGCTGACAGTGCTCTTAGCAGCCGCGGCCACAACACGACCTCAGTGACAGCAGCCACGGCGGGCCAGGATCTGTGCTAAGGGTTTTCCATGCCTCCGTTGCACGTACCCTAACAACCACCCAAGGAGGGGGTGTTGTCTTTGTATCCCAGAACGGTTAAGCAGCTTACTTGGGATCACACAGTAAGTAGCGTGGCAAGAACTTGCACTCAAGCTTGTCTGAGTCCAAGAGCCACCCCAGCACACTGCTCACCATGGTCTTCCCAAAGGGATCGGGCTTATTCAGAAAGCCGATCAATTGGAAGGACCACGTAGTCACCGTAGAAGAGCTTGGGAAGAGTGTCAGGCAGTCTCAGGGGTATTTAGGGTCTCCAGGGTCCACTCCCTGGCATTCCTGGAGGGCTCTAGTGAAAGCGTGATTATCCCGGGCAGCCTTCAGCAGTGGAACAGCAGGGAACGCCAGGGTTAGGAAAAGCCGTGGGAGGGAGGAAGAAGCTGGAAGGGAGGGCATGCCCGCCTGAAGCCTGAGTAGCCTCGGGGTGTGCAGGGGTGGGGAGTGGTGTTTTGGACGCCGGCCTGGCCCCACCCTGCTGACTGCCCCTGTGGGAGGAGGGTGGGGCCGTGAAGGGAGGGTTGTTTATAAGCACCTCTGGCCTTTGAAAAACACCAGCTGATGGCGCCACTTCCTTCGCTTCTAGTGTAAGGCCCCTCGGAGTCAGTGTCACTCCAGCCACCTGCAGTCCCCAGCCCGGGCTGGGGCGGAAACGCAGGGCAGCAGAATGAGCGCGGGTTTTGAAATCCAGCTGTGATTTGGACCAGCTGTGGGCAGATTACTTAATAGCTCTGTATCCTTCTTGGGAGTAATAATACCCACCTTATGCAGTTCTTGTGAGAATCAAAATGAGTCCAAGCATGTGAAATATTTAATGCCTGGCATTTGAGAAATGTTCAATAGTAGTTTCTATTCCAAACTCGCCCATCCTCAGCCCACAGTCAGGGTGGCTGTTCCCCATTGTAACCCTCTTGAGTGCATTACTGATATGCTCTAGGGTATGCTTGAGAGAGGATATGGGAATTTTCCTTCCACTCTTCACCTAGGTTTTTACATATGATCCTTATTTGTGGAGTGGTAGCAGTAAATCCTTGAGGGCATGCATGCCCACGGTTCCGCTCCATGTTTATTAAAGACCTACTATGTGCAGACACTGCTGGGGACAGAAAAATGAATATGACATAGCCCTGCCCTCAAGAACCTTATAGTCCAGCTGAAGAGATAGACATACAAATAAGCAATTTAAATATTAGGCGTTAAATGCTGTGATGATGGTGTGTACAGAATGCTAAGACAGCACAGAGGAAGGACAATGAGCATAATCTTGGAGCTGAAGATAATGTCCCCAGGAGGGTACGGTCTGAGATGAGTCTTAAAGGAGCCAGGAGAAGTTAGCCAAGGTGGTGACCTTGGACTTATCCAATGAACTAAGCTGGAACCGCATTTCCCAGAATTCCCTTCCCTGTGTGGCTCTGGGCTCAGACTGACCCCATGAGAAATGTGCACGAGGTCTGGAGGGTAGAAGGAAGGCAGCAGCTGTGTAGATGTTCCTTGTGTCAATGTGGAGCCGGGTAGCTCACGCTTGTTTTTGCAGATCCACAGACTTCCCTTGTTGAGGTGAGGCAGCGCCTTCGACGTCTCTGACTCCTAGGCCAGGTGTGTGTCTAGCTCCGTGATGGAAGGTGCCAGCTTCCCTTGTAAGTGACCAGCATGGGCTCTGCTTCACCCTTCCGGGCTCCCAGCTTACCCAGGTGAGTTCTGGTTTGCTCTGGCTCTCCCCACTTCAAGCCTCTTTCCTTCCTAACTTCCTGCCCTGCTGACTTCAGGCCCAGAGCCAGATGCAGAAACAACAGATGTGTGTAAACTGTTGAACCAGCTCCTACGATTGCATGGGTGGGGGTGGGGAGTCAAATCCTGTAATAAATCCTTTGTTTGAGATCACATTGAATGATTCTACTTCTCTGGTTGAATCTCTTTTTTTTTTTTTTTGAGACAGAGTCTCGCTCTTGTCACCCAGGCTGGAGTGCAATGGTGCGATCTCAGCTCGCTGCAACCTCTGCCTCCCAGGTTCAAGTGATTCTCCTGCCTCAGTCCCCCAAATAGCTGGGATTACAGGCACCTGCCACCATGCCTGGCTACTTTTTGTATTTTTAGTAGAGACAGGGTTTCACCATGTTGGCCAGGCTGGTCTCGAACTCCTGACTTCAGGTGATCCACCCATTTTAGCCTCCCAAAGTGCTGGGATTACAGGCATGAGCCACTGCCCCCGGCCCTCTGGTTGAATCTTGATGGATGGACCAGTTAAGGATGGCTGAGGAAAAAGGTCCACACAGGAGGAATAGAACGAGCAGAGTTATGAAAGGTGGGGCTCATGCAGGGAACCACAGGTGGCTTGGCATTTCTAGAAACAGAATGAGAAGCAGAGAGAGCAAGAAGACGCTAGAGAGGGAGGAAATGGCTGGGCCGTGGAGGAACTGAATGGCATACTGAACGTTTGGCCAGTGCAAGATACAGCTGAATGAAGGAGGCTTCTGTATGCGTGGCGATGCTGCTGTGAAGTTTACGTGACCTGTTACGGTATTTGCTGTTCTCTGAATAATGTTCCACATGACAAATTTACTTCAGAATACAGTCCTTTTAAAAATGTTGATTCCTTTCTACAGTCAGATAGCAAGAATTAGGTGATATATTCTATCAGGACAGGGTAGGTTATACTGTCTAATAAATAAACCACCTATTTCAGTGGCTTCGTGATAAAGGGTTTGTCTTCCTCATGTCATGCTGGGCAGATGTTTTTCTTTGGTGACTCTTTATCAAGCAGTGTCTCAGGGCCCCAGGGTCCTTTTATCTCGTGACATTGCAAACTTAAATGTGTGGCCTTTGAGACTGCCAAGAAAATGAGATCGCAGATTGTGGACAATCTTGCCGGTCGGGGTGGGGTGGGTCACCGCTGGGCCTGAGTGTGGCTTCTGTAACTTCCAACAGGTCCTCACAAGTAGCACCCAGTCACCCGTCCCTAACTGCTAGCAGGCTGGGGAATGTGGGCTGGGAAAAGGAAAATAAAATGAGATCTGATAAATACATAGCATTGTATCTGCCGCTATTATCAGTTTGGAAGCTTTTCTTTACGGCTCCATCCCAGTAAAACAGTAACGGTGCTGGTGCATAGTTGAAATGTGTAGGCTTCCTTTTCCATTACACCATTTAGATCTTCTGTCCTTATTTCCATGCTTTTAGGTATTCAAAGACAAAAAACAACTTGAATTTTTCACATCACAAGTGAGTGCTTCTATTCTTCCATTTTAAACTACTCCTCTACTTCTATCTAGACGGGTGGCCCTAGCTTAACAAAGAACCTTTATATGAAAACACATGGTTGAAGGTTCTCTTTTTTCTTTTCTTTTCTTTTTTAATTGAGACAGAGTCTTGCTCTGTTGCCCAGGCTGGAGTGTGGTGGCATGATCTTGGCTCACTGAAACCTCCACCTCCTGGGTTCAAGCGATCCTCTTGCCTCAGCCTCCCACGTAGCTGGGATTACAAGTGCGTGCCACCACACCTAGCTAATTTTTGTATTTTTAGTAGAGACGGGGTTTCACCATGTTGGCCAGGCTGGTCTCGAACTCCTGATCTGAAGTGATCCGCCCATCTCGGCCTCCCAAAGTGCTGGGATTACAGGCGTGAGCCACTGCACCTGGCCCCAAGATTCTCTTTCTAGAATGCTTTTCTTTTGTGCCCTGGGATGAATACTTGGGTTCCAGGATTGTTTGGATTACAGAATATTAGCTAATGAAAATGTAGAGTGGTTGCTTTTCATAATTATGCAAATATAGAGAGCAAAGAAGTTACAGGTGACCAAGCGCATCATCATCACCCTTCCTATGTCTGTTTGTCTTGAGTCTCCCCAGTCACAACTCATTTACAGGGAGGCCAGCACAGGCAGGATATTACTGGTGTTTTGATTCATGGTTTAGAATGTATTTCCCCTTAGACATAGGGTTACAAACAATGATTAGGTGTATCTGAAAGAGAACCACAAGTCTTATCATCTTCAGGCACATGATGGATTAAGCAGGTGAAATAAAACCATTTGTTACATTAACTGTGGCAATTGTATTACAAGTTCCAGACAAAGAACCTAAACTTTTGGAAAAGGTGCTTTATTTATTTATTTTTTTCAATTTCCAAGAGGTTCTAATTGCAGATTTTCAGGCCATAATGTTTCAAAGATCAAAACAATAATGTAAAATGCTTTGAATTATAAGATATTACACAAAAGATAATTCTGTTCTAATTTTTTGTAGAGAACCTCAGATTGAGCATTGTGATATTGTGATGGTTAATTTCATGTGTCAGCTTGGCTAGGCCACGGTACCCAGAGAGTTGGTCAAACAGCAGTCTAGATGTTGTTGTGAAGGTGTTTCATAAATAGATTAACATTTAAATCAGTAAAGTATGATTAAAGCAGGTGACTGTCCATGACATGGGTGGGCCTCATCCTATGAGTTGAAGTCCTTAGGAGAAAAGACTGAGGTTCCCCGAGGAAGAAGGATTTCTGTCTCTAGGCTGTCTTCAGACTCAAGCTGCACTGTTATTTCCTTTCTGGGTCTCCAGCCTGCTGGCCTTCCCTGCAGGCTTCAGACTTGCTAGACCCCGCAGCAGCGTGAGTCAATTCCTTAAAGTTATCTATCCATTATCTATCTATCTATCTATCTATCTATCTATCTATCTATCTATCTATCTAAATATCATCTATCTATCTAACTATCTACCTACCTACCTATCTATCTATCCATCCACCTATCTACCTATCATTTTCCTACATTCTATTGGTTCTGTTTTTCTGGGGAATCGAAATAGAGACATATTTTCGAGCAAAGGAAAACAGCCAATATTTACTAATTTGCATCTAAAAATATTAAAAATTGTGCATCCACATACAAAATGTTCTTTGAGAAACACAAATCCAATTGATGACGGAATTTGTTATTTCTTTGTCGTCAGCCATCTTCCATCTTCTCCTATTTTCTATAAGTCCTTTCTGGGGTCCCCCCTGCCCCCCACTTCTGGGTTCTTTGCTTGAGCGCACAGCAGGCAAACACTTTTCGATGGGAGAACCCATAGTCCAGTAATGAATTTAGGACTGTTCACTTTCAAATCTATGGAGAGGATTATTCTCACTTCCTCCTAACTCTTATTTCACCTCTGATAAGGAATTCAGTTCACGTTAGGTACACATTCAGTACCTTCCCAGAGACAAAGGAAATTGGTGCTAACAAATATTAAATAGCATTTAGGACACAAGCCAGTGGAAGAAATGAAAATTTAAAATATGACTGACACCGTCTCTGACCTACCCCTCTCCATCCAAGTTTGGCTGGACTCCTGACGCTCTGTGTGATGTTCCATACTTGGGATATGGTTGGATATTTGAACAAGTAAGGTTGCACAAAGAATAAAATGTCAGCTTTCTGAAGGTGATTTGTATTGTGTGAGGTCATACCTCCTAATGAGGTACGTAGGAGAAACAATGTCCTGTGAAGAACTAACGCTGCTCATGTAGCTGTCCTTGTGGTGTGTCAAAAAGCGCTCATGTCTGTTGAAAGAGTCCAAATGAAACAAAAGTAAGAAACAGTGAAGAATTACACATAATAGAGGTCAACTTGCAGATGTCCAGTCTAGGATACATTTTAGGAAGCGTTCCATTCTTTTCCTTATTATGTTGGAAGACAATAAATCTGAGAAGATTAAAAATGAGGGGATGTGGGGGAGGCTAGATTAGGAGTTCAAATCATTCTTGCTACTCCTTCTCTTTCCTTGTTTTAGAAGCTGGGAAGATAGTGTATATCTTCTAAATTGAAATGGCCCATCATAAACCTCATAATGTTAGAAATTCAAGTCCTATTTATCATCCACATTAAAGACAAAAGATATCGAGTATGCAGCTGTCACTTGGGCCAGTGTTAAAGAAGTTAAAAGTAAAAGCAGACGGCAATGTAGGCATTGACTTGTGTTTCAGAAGGCACAGGAAAGAACAATTAGGGGAATAAAAATGAAATTTGCCTATACAGAAGAAATATGGTTAGTTAAACCATAAACACTGAGTAACACTGAATCAGGGAATGAGGATCTCTAAGGTCCCATGCAGCCTTGCAGTGCGGGATCTTGGGAGAATGACAGTCTACTTTCTGCTTTCCTACAGATAACTGTTTCAATTTTTTTTTTCTTTTTTTTTTTTGAGACAGAGTCTTGCTCTGTTTCCCGAGCTGGAGTGCAGTGGTGTAATCTCAGCTCACTGCAGCCTCCACCTCCCAGGCTCAAGCAATTCTCCTGTTTCAGCCTCCCGAGTACCTGGGACTACAGGCTCATGCCAGCACGCCCAGCTAATTTTTATATTTTTAGTAGAGATGTGGTTTCACCATGTTGGCCAGGCTGGCCCCGAACTCCTGACCTCAGGTGATCTGCCTGCCTCGGCCTCCTAAAGTGCTGGGATTACAGGCGTGAGCCACCGTGCCCAGCCAACTGTTTCAATTCACATGTTTGTAAGGCAGGAGATATCCAGGGGTTCTTCTGGGTTCCCACCCCTGGAGCGCAGTGCCTGGGACCCAGGAGGCTCTCCATATATTGCTGAGAAATCAATTCCTCAATAGATATTCTAAAATTAACATATCAAGGTTGTGCCTTAATACGCAATAGGATTGTCAGAATTAAGTCCTAGGGAACTTGTTCTTAGTCTCAGGTTTTTGCCTCTAATTGTGCGTCCTTGGGCAAGTCAGTAATCTCCCCAGGACTCAGTCTCCTCATCCGCACAATGAGGAGTGTCAATTAGATGGTCTTTATATTGTCTCTGGTACAAGCATTCTATGACTCTGTGAAATTAGCTTAGGTTACCCAAAGCTTAAACCACATAAATCCTACTTTACAATTCAATCCAGTTCAACCATAAACATTTAAACAAATATTTATTAAGTACCGCCTATGTGCAAGACACACCATCATCTGCCTGAGGTACGTGAGGATGAAGGCTGCCATCCGCTCTTGTCCTCAAGGAGCCTACCCTCAGCAAGGGTGGAAGACAGGACATGAAGTGAGTACTGGAAGGTTCCAGAACTCCTCCAGGGCAGCACTGTGTCCTTCGTATTGGGATGGTCATGTTCTTAGAACTGGGGGAGGGGCTGTGAGCTAAAAAAAAGGAAAGTCGAATGACATTCAAAGGGTAGTGAATTCACCTATGGCCAGAGCAGGAGCAGAACTTCTCCACGGAGGGAAGCTCAGTGTGTGTTCGGGAAAGAGCAAGCGTTACTCTCGAGCTGAATTACAGGGCATGTGTGGAGAAAAAGGGAAGGGAAGATGGAAATGGTAAGTGTTGGCAATTTGCAGAGGGTCTTGAAAAATGCAGAACACAGAGACTGTACTAAATTGCTGTAAACGTTTCCCAGGAAGGGCAGGAGAGGATGTTACATGACAGATCAATCAGACAACAGACGGAGGGGGATGGGGGCATATCCATTCAGTTAGACAGAACTTGGGGATGGCTGGGGATAGGACAGCTTCCTTACTCTTGACCTGGTTCAGCCACAGGGTCATGCTGTAAAAATAGCAAATGGTGATGAATGTGTTACTGGAAAGGGGTCCAGACCCAGACCCCAAGAAGGGGTTCTTGAATGTCACGCTAGAAAGAATTCGGGGTGAGTCTATAGAATAAAGCAAAAGCAAGTTTATTAGAGAAGTAAAGAGACAAAAGAATGGCTATTTCATACACAGAACAGCACTAAGGGCTGATTGACTGAGTACGTTTATGGTTATTTCTTGATTATATGTTTTATGAGTTTTCTGGGAAAGGAGCAGGCAAGTCTCGGAACTGATGGTTCTTCCCCTTTTTAGACCATATAGGGTAACTTCTGGATGTTGCCATGGCATTTGTAAACTGTGAGGGTGCTGGTGAGAGTGTCTTTTAGCATGCGAATGCATTATAATTAGCATATAATGAGCAGTGAAGATGACCAGAGGTCACTTTTATCACCATCTTGGTTTCAGTGGGTTTTGGCCTGCTTCTTCACCGCTGTTTTATCAGCAGGGTCTTTATGACCTGTATCTTGCGATACCAGTCCTGCTGACCTATCTCATCCCGTGACTAAGTATGCCTGGGAATGCAGCCCAGCAGGTCTCAACCTTATTTTACCCAGCCCCCTTTCAAGATGGAGTCACTCTGTTTTGAACGTCTCTGACAAAGGCGGTGATGGGACGGAGCTGCTACGCAGACCCTGTGCTTCTGAAGGTGTTTCCTCGTTTTGCTAGGGTCTCCCCTGGAAGTGGTTTTCCAAGCCTGTTATTGATGCAGCCTGTTGGGGGGAAATTCGGCTCTCCTCCTGGCTGATTGCCCATTGCTGGGATTTTGACCATCCAGCAGCGGTTTGGGACACGTCGGGGTGAAATGGCTCTGAAGGGAGTGGCCGTTGATGATCCTTTTTTTAATTTTGTTTTTTTGTTTTTTGTTTTTGTTTTTTTGGCTCCAGCAGGACATATCACATCATAAGGCAGTGTTGGAAATGGGAGAGCCAGGATTATCTCTGGCTTTAATTGTTAACTTAATTGCTTTTTCATTTTTTGGCTAGCCTAGATGGTGAAGCAAATGGAGTCGAAACATATATTCTTTGCCATTTATTAGAATGGCGATAATGAAACGTTCATTACTATTAGACCAGAAAGATAATGCTACAAGGAATTTCATCTCCTGGTTTCTTTATTTCTTTTTAACCTGCCTCCTGCCTGATTTGTTCTTTGTTTGTTTGTTTTAAGCAACTCCTAGCATTTTGTATGCCTTTTTGACATGGCAGCCCCAGAAATTTCATATAGCAAGCAAACTTCACGTAGGGCAACAGTCCTGGATAGTGAGACTTACGCTGCAGCACACTGAATAGTACTGGGGAGTGGCTCTGGTAGGGAGACTATGAAAGGTTACCGTCCTCCTGTTCACTCCTGGATGCAGAGCTCCCTGCCAACTCCATCTGTTTAACTGATCCCTCCTTCTTTTCTATTTTTGTTTTTGGGCAATTGACCCACTGAATGGCCTTTCCTCATCTTGCCGCTTTCTTCCTCAGGATTTTTGTTCTCTTGTTGATCTTTGGCAAAGTCTCTGTGTATATGTTTGAGTTTTTATCCAAAGATTTCTTTTTTCCTGCCTTTTTTATACCGTATTTTCATTTACATTACAAAGGAGCTTGCCCTTTTGCCGATTAAACAATGGATCATTCATACTTCAGTTTTAGATGTTTGGATATCTCGACACACATGTAAGAACAGATGTTTTCATGCAAGTATGACTGTCAAAGTTAATTCAGCTTTATTTGCAACTGCTATTTTAATAAAATTTGGATTTTTTTTCGACTGTCACTCCTTCCCACTTGTGGCATTTTACTTATTTGGAAATACAATATTCACTACATAGTAGAATTATATGTTATTCCCTTGTGGTTGATATCTTTGCCTCTAAAGCTGACTTTCTAAGTTTTCAGCATTCTTGAATGTAATGCTTCTGCAGTAGGCAGGAAAGCGCAGTGTACGGTAGTTACAGTCTTCTAAACAGCTGCCCTAGGAATGATGTACCCACAGTTTTCAGTAAGGTTAACATAGTGCTTTATCTGGTGGGTCTCATGCACACACACACATATACCACAATGCAAACCTTATGCTCAAGAAAGAAAAAGTTATGGTGCACAAGAAAACAAAACCGAAGAGATAAAAGGCAGAGCAAAAACCTCCTCAAAGTAGGGTATTTGTTTAAAGTTGCTAAATTACACATTTTGGACCCTAAAAATGTTTGTGAAAAGTGCTCTGAAATTATCAGACCACAGTACTCCTTTTGAGTCTGAAAAACATCTTGAGGTTGGGTGACATGGTGCATGGCAGCTGGGCTAGCCAAAGAAGGATGTGTAGTCAAGAGTGTTGATGGGAGACAAGAGGGTGATGGAGAACTAAGGGTCTGTCCCTGCAGGTTTACAGACTGGGCATGATGGAAGCAAGGGGGTGACAGGGCTCACAAGATGAGCACTTTGGTCAGAGAGAGGAGATGTTGGCTATTTAATGCTTCAAAGGAATCTCAAAGTCTTGTGTGTGACATTGGGTGTGGGTAGAGTTGGCGGGGAGTGAAGTGGAGGTGAAGGTGGCTGGAGCTGAGGTGATGAGGGACCAATGAGGTGGGCAGACTTCTAGATGGTCTGTGTGGATGCTGCTGTCACCCATCATGTTAGCAGCTCAGGATAGAGGGCAGAACTGTGAGCCGAACACTGTGCCTTTTCCCATTGCCTTCCTTAACTAATTGTCAATCCATCATTCATTCAACATTCATTCAAAAATGAATGTGCATTAATTGTGGATCATATGGCATTGTTCATTACTGAAGTTACAAAAATAAATCTGGCCAGGCACGGTGGCTCACATCTGTAATCACAGCACTTTGGGAGGCCAAGGCAGGCGGATCACCTGAGGTCAGGAGTTCAAGACCAGCCTGTCCAAATGGTGAAACTCTGTCTCTGCTAAAAATACAAAAAATTATCTGGGTGTGGTGGTGCATGCCTGTAGTTTCAGCTACAGGCTGGAGGCAGGAGAATCGCTTGAACCTGGGAAGCAGAGGTTGCAGTGAGCTGAGATCACACCATTGCACTCCAGCCTGGGCTACAAGAGCGAAACTCCGTCTCAAAAAAAAGTAAATACATTTAAATAAATAAATAAAATAAATAAATCAGACGCGGTTCCAGAGCATGGAAAGCTTACTGGCTGACTGATAAGGGTGAGCATGTACTAGTTATCTCAACCAGAGCCTGTAAACCCATAGGGCTGCAGGGGCCAGGTGGGGCATGGAAGGATGAAGCCAGCAGGTGGAATAAGGAGGAAACGTTTGGCAACTGTAGTGAACCGGAGAGCTCATAGCTCACTTAAGGCAGGCAGCCATTATCCATGTTGGCGAATCTTTCAATTTAAAAAAGAAAAAGCCAGACACAGTGGCTCATGCCTGTAATCTCAACTAGGCTGAGATAGGAGAATCACTTGAGCCCAGGAGTTTGAGGCTGGAGGGAGCTATGTTCGTGCCACTGCACTGCAGCCTGGGTGATAGAATGAGAGCCCATCTCTTAAAAAAAATAAATTTAAAAATAAAAGAAATGCAGATATCTGGGAATGAAATTTCCCAATTTAAAAACTTTAGCAAGCAATTAAACTAATAAAAATATAGTTAGTATGGGCCAATGGTTTGTGTCTTCTGATTTAAATAACTGGAACTGCAGGCCAACTTCGGTTCTTGTTCTGATTCTACCCCTAACTTGCTAGTCAATCACCTAACATCTCTGACCCCAGTGACCTCTGAAAGGGGCAGGAAGCTGTAGGGCATGAGCTCTAGGGTCTTTCCCAGTTCTCTGATTATAATTTCAGTGTCCAAAGAGACTGCTGATTAATTTCCTTCTGTCAAGAAGGGTGAAAAGTATGGGACCATATCTTTTATGTTTCTTCCTCTGAAATGTGCAGTGTCAACAGAGGGCTGTCACTCTGGGGGAGTTCATTACAGTGACTAATATTGGCCTCACTGGACTCTGAGAAGGAGCTAGGTTTGGAAGCCACCATGATGAACTTCTGTTTTCCTTTCTCTCTCTCATGCTTGTGGTCAAGAAGGGAGGCAAAGGAATTGTTTAGACAGACATATAGTAGAATCCCAGGTCTGTAAGTTAATGATCTTTGTGATTGGGCAAGTCGTTTCCCCTGAGCCTTAGATATCACTGGCTGTAGAGCTAGAAAAGAGAATGTCCTCCCATAAACATGTGGATGCTTCCCTCTTCCAGAGGAGAAACATATCACCATATGTCTATTTGTTTTTTTGTTTTGCCTCGACTGCTAGTAAGTTGACCAGAAAGCAAAATATCTGGAACAAGTTAGTTTAATTCTCTGAAGAATTGCTTTGACTAAATTATAATTGAATGTCATCTCAGTATGTGTGTGTGTTTTCTCCATATTGTCTTCAAAATTGCAGTCAACGGCATTTTTCAAAATGGTTCAGCCTGGTCAACATGACAAAACTCCATCTCTACAAAAAATAGAAAAATTAGCTGGGCATGGTGGCATGTGCCTGTAGTTCCAGCTACTGGGAGACTGATGTAGGAGGATCACCTAAGCCTAGGGAGTTTGAGGCTGCAGTGAGCCATGGTGGTGCCACTGCACTCCAGCCTGGGTGACAGAGGGAGACCCTGTCTCAAAAAACAAACAACAAACAATTAAAATGTTTGCTCAGTATTGCTTACATGGTAAGATAAACAGAGAGCTCCTGTGAAGGAGGCTGGTGGAGTTATTTGGTGGCCGTCTGGCTCCCCGCTGAGCTTTTGTTTTGCTGAGTGAGGTCTGCAGGGGAGCACACTGAGCTGAATTGCTTGGACCAATAAAGAGGATTTGTGGAAGCTGTGTGACGAGTGGAAAAACGGGAGGAAAAGAAACCTAGTTAAGGGCCACTGGAGAAGAAGCCTTGGGATGGATAAGGACAGAGATACCTATTATGCAGTTGGATGAGGTTTGCCATGTGCTATGTGACATTATCCCCTTCTTCATCTCCTCACAAAAAGACACCACTTACCAGTGACTTTTGGTGTTTTTTGATGAGCCAACCTCAAGGCATGCTGGAGATGAACAGAGGCCACCTAAATGGTCCAACCACCCTTGGTTTACACTGAGAGAGGGCTACCATAATATCTTCTTGCCAAATAGTGTTGCCAGGAAACAGTATGTCTTACCAAATAAAAGTATATGCTTCCTTCTGCCTAAAGAGAGCTATGTGATTCATTGAATATTACGTTTGTTTGTTTAGCTTTAGCTAAACAAGGTTAGAACAAGATGTAGTGCTCAATTGTATATCAGATTTCTTTGTTCTCTCTCATATAATTTCTGATCTCTCTTTGCTATGTTTTTTTAAACTGCATATTTTGTATGTTTTCAAGACATCTTATATTTGGGTGTTCTAAGACACCCCAAATGGTTTGTGGAAGCCAAGGAGGGGCTAACCCAGCGCTATGCAATGGAACTTTCTGCGTGATGGAAATGTACTGTATCTGTGCCATCCAATATGGCGGCCACCACCACACGTGGCTCTTGAGCACTTGAAATGTGGCTAGTATGACTGAGAAACTAAATGTTCAACTTTGTTTAATTTTAATTAATTGAAATTTAAGTTTAAATAGCCACCTGTGGATGCCCTGTTGGACAGCACAGTCCTACACCATTTATAAATAAACAAATGCTTCTGAACACCTGGAAAGGGTTTCGTCTCAAGTTCAAATGTTCTTTACGTGATGGATTTATTTAGAAAAATCTTTTTGTGTAATAAGAAACAATTATTTGTATTTGTATAATGAGGAATGATAAGGAAGTTTAAACTCCATTTACTTATAAAAGTAACAAAATTAACCGAGTACTTTATATTCACTGGAGCTTTGGTAGTTTCATTATCAATTTACATTCAAACTTTTACTAAATAACTAAAAATAGGGTTGCCTAACCATCAGAACTAGATGATAGCTCTTATTTTAAATAGGAAGTCTGTGAGAGACAACTTTAAAAAAATAAATTTTAGTTCTATTGCTTGACCTGGGTGGTATTTACCCAGGTGTCCGACTTTATAACTGTTTGTTTAAATGTTCTTACATATCATATGCACTTTTTCTGTATCTGTTAATTTTCACAATAAAATATAAAAATGACAGTCTCTTCCAATTTTAAAAGTATAATGTGTTGAAATTGTAAAAGTATTCATGTCATAGGCTGATTAAGGAAAAATCATAGAAAATCTAGAAATAAACCAAGAACAAATGGGAACTTAGTATATAATATATGTGGCATGTCAAGTTAGTGGAGAGAAATATGAATTTTAACAACTGGTGATGGGAATATTTTTATCTGTTTTATAGAATAACCCTATGCATTGGAATTTATATTTACTGTAATCAGGTTGTTGTTTGAATTTGTTTTTCTTAATTAAAAAAATGGTGTTAAGATACTGTTATAGCTATTAAAGATCAAACTATGCCACTTACATTTACATTTAAGGCCAGGAGCAGTGGCTTACATCTGTAATCGTGGCACGTTGTGAAGCCAAGCCTTGAGGATCCCTTGAGGCCAGGAGTTTGAGACCAGCCTGGGCAACATATAAGATCCTGTCTCTAAAAATTTTTTTTAAAAATAAATTTACATTTACATTCAAATATGTAAGTTAAGAGCAGGCATTGATATCACATTTCCCCAGCAAGTCTGTATTACGTTCAGTTTTAATTAAAACTGAAAAAAGTAAAAGATCTCCAAAGACTATAAAGTTGGAATGTGGCATCATATGAAAGTGATTTTACAAACCTAAATTTAAATTATCCCTTTGTTAATCTTAAAAAATGTTTTTCAGCTGTTACCTGCAAATTTTTTTCTTACTTAATTTTAATCTCGTTAGGTTGATATTCTTACTTTAATTAATTATGAACCCCAAATTAATTCTAGATAGAAAAGTGTTTACACAGAAGAAAGTGAAGTCCTAAGAAAAAAAAAGGAAATATTGGTGAGAACTTTTGAATAATCTTTGAGTGGAAAACAGCTTTCTACCATACTACCAAACTCAGGAACCACAGTGGAAAATAATCATAAATTTGACTATAGACTTAAAAAAACTCGTTGTAGCAGGAATCTTCATAAAGTAAAAGCACAAACAAATGTATTTACAACATAATGGCAATAAACAGTCTGATTTCCATAAACTGTACAAAAAGTTCTTTTAAATTTGTTTTTAAAATAATAGAAAAATGGGAAAGGGAATTCATATATGAAGAAATACAAATGGCTAATGAATATTAAATACTCAGTATCAATTATTAAAGAAAATCAGATTAAAGCTTTACTTTTGAAAATAAGTTAATTATTTACAAGGAAGTGTAATACTTTCAATCAACCAGCCGAATTATTTTATCTCTTCCTGAATTTTCAACTTGCCATGCATACCTTTAGCAGAATCTTCAGGAAACGATTTCTGTGAAAATGACCCCTTCAGCAATTAGAATGACTAAAAAAGAGAAAAGATGATCTTATAGGTTCACAAGGGTGCAGAGCAACTGGAAGTCTCATTCATTGCTGGTGGGAACGCAAACAGCTCAACGACTTTGGAAAACACTTTGGCAGTATCTTGTGAAGTTAAACACACATTTTCCACACAATGCAGCAATCCCACTCCTAGGTGTTTACCCAAGAGAACTGGGAACTTTTGTTCATATAAAAATTGTGCGTGAATGTTTCTAGCATATTTATTCACATTCATCAAAAGCTGGGAACAACCCAAATATCTTCAACTGTTGAGTGGGTAAACAAACCGTGGTATGTCCAAATAATGGAATACTGCTCAGGACTAAAAGGGAACAAATTACTGATTAATGTAACAACATAGATAAATTTCATACTAAGTGACAGAAGCCAAACTTAAAAGACACATTTTGTACAATTCTGTTTACATGACATCCTGGAAAACACAAAATTATAGGAACAGATCAGTGGTTGCCAGGAGTCCAACATGGGGGCTTGGGTTGATTACAAAAGGGCAGTGTGAGGAAATTTGGGGGGTGATGGAACTGTTCTGTCTTGATTATGGTGGTCTAACTGCACGCACTTGTCAGATTCACAGAAATACACATCAGAGAAGTTAATTGTATTGTACATAAATTAAGTGAATTTAGAATTTATGTCTTTCTAAATTATTGTATTAGATTGAGAGCAAAACAGGTTGTTATTTCTCCATTTTTTGACTTAGATTTGATTATCTTTGTTCCTTTTTTTCTGAAGTAGACTTCTACATTGATGTATAACATACATATAAAAGTGCACAGATCATACCTGTAAAGCTTGATGAACTATTACAACTGTCATGTGTTTAACCAACTGCCACCCAGATCAAGAGACAGGCTGGGCACAGTGGCTCACTCCTGGAATCCCAGCACTTTGGGAGATGGCGGTGGGAGGATTACTCGAGACCACGAGTTTGTGACCAGCCTGGGCAACACAGAGAGACCTTGTCTCTACAAAATACAAAAATTAGCTGGGCATCGTGACACATGTGTGTGGTCCCAGCTACTCGGGAGGCTGAGATGGGAAGATCGCTTGAGCTCAGGGAGGTCGAGGCTGCAGTGAGCTGCAATTGCGCCACTGCACTCCAGCCTGGGTGACAGAATAAGACCCTGTCTCAAAAACCAGACCAAAAAAGACAAAAAAAAATAGGACATTACCAGAAGCCCCTCCCTCACCCCCTTAATCTTCCAGAACCAGTATTCTGACTTCCAACACTAGAGATTATGTCTGTTTTTGAACTTGGTGCAGATAAAATCATACAGTATTGAATATTGCACTCTTGATAGGTTTACTTATATTTCAGGTTAGTTTTGTGTGTAAAGCAGCATAGATATACCAAATAACAATAAGGAGACTAGACTGGTCAAGCACTATGATTACTTCTAGGTCTCAAATGAAGTCTGAGAGTTGAGAGAACTCTGACATATTTTTTGTTTGAAATACATTTTTGGCCAACAAAATAGCCTTTTTGTTGTTGTTGTTTAAAGCTAATCTGAATGCATTTGGGAAATGCACACCATACTGTTTCTTTCTGATCTCCAGAAATCTATTTTTCTCCAGTATTATTTTTCGTAGTATGGGTAGACATCAGTCTTAAAATTGGCCTGACACCCTGATCCTGTCATACGATACATCCTTGGTACTTCACCCAGTGATGATCTATGAACTTTTCCTGCTTTGTTCTTTGGAGATCAGGCTTGACTTTTGCTCGGTTATATTTAAAGCTGTGGGGAGAAGAGACTTCTTGAAAAATATGGTACTGAAGCCTGCTGTAAACTTGAATATTTGGAAACCTCTAGTAAAAGTAAATCCATATGGCAAGTCGGGTCCCAGCTTGATTCCTGCATAATTGGGTCCAAGATCCTTCATGAACTTGTGTGAGTGTGTGCGCACAATCTTGTATATGCTCTTTGTTGTGGAAGTCAGTTATGCTGGTTTTTGTTTTTGTTATTCTTTCCAGTGAGAGAACCTGGAGTATCAGTTCTGAGTTTCAGGGTTGGGGCAGGTTTTATTTTCTTAACAGTAACCAAGCCACAAAAGGGAAAAACAAAACAATCTCTGACAATCAAAAAATGTCTTGAAAAATAATATCAATAACAAATACTAACTTTTAAGAGATCAACAAATTCAAAACCTAAATTAAATATTACACCCTTGGATTCTTTTTACAAGCCTGATGGACCGGAGTCAGCCCCAACCACATAGCTCAAGTGAAGGATGCCCTCAAGCTGGGTGTGACCAGCGGGGCCACCAAACCATGGATTCCTTGGTTATTGTAACTCAAAAATAAAAGACTGGCCTTTGTGAATAGGGCTCAGCCAGAAGATTCTTCATTGTATTCACTCATTTCCTCTCTCCACCTTTTGTTGTTAGAATTCCAACTCTAACACTTCTCACTCTTCACAGTGAGAGATTTAATGCAAAAAACTTTTTTTTTCTGTTGTTTATTGTTGTTAGTTTCCAAGTTGAGATCTTGGCAAGATTCACTGATGAAATTATAAACTACCCCTATGGGACTCAATACAAGTTGGCACTAAGGGTCTACAAATAAAGTCATAGAATGTTAGTGTTGGAAGTCTAATCGGTTTCATTCTGCAAAGGAGTGACTGGGCTCAAAGAAGGTACATGGCTCGCCTAAGGTTCCATAGGTAATTAGTGGTGGAGGAGGACCAGTATCTTGGAAGCCTCCAATTTTCCAGTCAAGCACTCTTTTCCTGTTTTATTTTTCATTCTCCCAGAATGTACTTAGGTGGGTTGGATTGTTGCAGTTGGAAGCATGTGCGTTGGAGTCGTGTCTCAGGGATTTTAGTTAAGATGTTTAGTTAAAGGGATTTATTGGATCCTGTAACTGAATAGTCTGAGGGAGGGTGAACTTTGGGATTTGGTTTGATTTGGCAGCTTCATGACATCTTCCAAGACAAGGCTTCTCTTTCACCTTTCCATTTAGCCTTCATGGTGTCATCTCTTTGTGGTTAATATATGGCTGTCAGTAACTCTCTGGTCTTCATGCTTCTTCATGAGGACCCAGTGAGTGCAGCGGTCATTCTGGAAGCTTCCAGAAGACCTCATCAACTCTTTCTCCACATCCCACTGGCTTCCATGGCAGATGGGCCCATTTCTGAAACTTCAGCTGCAGTTGGGGGATCAGGTTATACTGATTAACTTAAGCCTGAGTAAATGTATTGTTCTGAAATCAGTCCCCTTCTCCTGAAGCATGTGAATGGGACTAAGAAGTGTGAATAACAGTGAAATCAAGGTAGTTGCCAAGAAAGGGAAAATACATGTCAGGAGGCAACTCAATGTCTACAATAGTTGTAAGTATCAGAAATCAACTCGAACTAGCTTAAACAAGGGTGGGAATTTATTACACAGATGCAGGTGTGTCTCATAGAGCCTGAGGCCAGGGAAGCTGCCGGGTATGGGGGGAGGGGTGGGAGTCAAGAACCAGAGAACCATCAGGAACCCAGATCATCACTCTGCCCTGCCCTCCCTGCTCCTTTTTCCCCCTTCCCTCTCCTCCCTTCCCCTCCTTCCTCTGTCCACTGACTAGCTGTCTCAGAATTCTTTTTTTCCTTCTTTGAATTTTTTTTTTTTTTTGAGACGGAGTTTCGCGCTTTTTGCCTAGGCTGGAGTGCAATGGCACGATCTCGGCTCACCGCAACCTCTGTCTCCCAGGTTCAAGTGATCCTCCTGCCTCAGCCTCTGAGTAGCTGGAACTACAGGCACCCAGCACTACCCCTGGCTAAGATTTTGTATGTTTAGTAGAGACGGGGTTTCACCATATTGGTCAGGCTGGTCTCGAACTCCTGACCTCAGGTGATCCGCCTGCCTCGGCCTCACAAAGTGCTGGGATTACAGGCATGAGCCACCACGCCCGGCCGCTGTCTCAGATTTCTGATTCCTCATTCCTATTTGGCCAGCCTGGGTCAGGTGTCCACCTTGGGATGAGCAGAATGCACTAACACAGATAAGGCTGCCTGCCAGGCCCCTCCGTGTGGTGAGATGACGGCCTGGTAAGCACGTAGTTCTTAGAGCATTGAGGCTAAGATGGCCCCCACTGAAGGCACCGTGAAAAGGGGATTTTCAGCCCTGGGTCATGATCCTGCTCCAAGGTGCTCCGTCGTTCTGGGTTGCAGCCTATTGGGGAAATGCCTCCATGGGCGAGACATCTGTTGCCAGTGCCACCCCCAGCTCCTCCCATGGTCCTCAGGTGTGGAGTGTGAAGGGAAAGATGTCAGGAGGGGGAGAAGCAGATGACATGGGTAAGAGGAGAATTCTTACTTCTACGTGGCTCCAACGGAAATTTGCAGCCATAAAACCCAAAGGAGGTATTTGCTGAATCACAGGCACATTTTTCTGGCGTTGAAAGCTGAACTGGGCAAGGACGTTAATGAGAACTAGTCCACAATGATCTCTTTCAAACCCGAATCTCTGTGCTGGTGATCTCCACAGGAGCCAGGGAGCCGCCTCCCCGAGACGAGATAGCACATTCCCAAGCTTCTCAGACTCAGGTGCCCGCTCTCTGTTGACTCTCTGCATCCCCACCCTTTCCTCCGGGAGGGTGACTCATGGTGCTGGGGCGGCAGTGTCTGAGGTCTGAGAGCAAAGTCAGAGATGACTCTTTTGGGGGCTTGAAACTGTCTATTGCAGCGAGGAGTCCTTTCGGTCTCACCCTTGAGGGTGCATCTATCAGAGCTTTTGTCTGTTTTACAACTTCCTCCTAAACCTAGAACAATGGATTTAGAAAAGGGCAGGAAATCTATGCCTGTCTACTCCAGGGAAGGGGGCGTGAGTAGCATGGTTGGTGCCTTTTAGGTTAGGTCATTTAATACAGGCTGGGGCTAGTGGGTTTGAAAACTGGAAAATTTCAGGAGGGTCTCACCCCAAGTGCCCTCAAACTTCCCACAGGAGCAGGATCATTTTGAGACTAGCAAAATGTATATAGGAGAGAAAAAAAAGTAAAATAATAATAATAATAATAATAACAATAATAATAATAATAATAAAGTATATAGGGTAAGTGGCTCAGGTTAGCCAAAAGTTAAGGGCTTATAAGAAAATGAAAAACCACAAGGAAGACCTCATTAAAGAGTGAGGTTTTATTAAGGAATTTGGCTTTAGTGCTAAAACCCGAAGGAGTTTGACAGAAGAGGAGGAAAAAGATGGGATTGATGACTGACATTGTTAAGCATAAACTATGGATTTATGGATTGGATACCAAGAGCAACAGCTGTGCAGTAACTTTTAATAGTACCTCGGACTTTACAACACTCTTTTTTCACATTCGCAATATTTTATCCTCAAAGCCACATTCTGAGGCAGGCATTATCTCCATCTTGTGGATGAATAAAATGAGGCTTGATAAGGTAAGTACTTTGTTTCAAGTCTCCTACCTGGTCAGCTTTGGAGCTGGGATACAGATTCAGGTCTTCTAATGCGTTATCCATCCTAATACTCTGTCATTCATCACAATTAAGAAAGCCCTTCAGTCTTCATTATCCCACTCTATTTTCACGACACAATAGCACAGGTATGTTTATATCTCTTCCGGCTAAACGGCAATGATATTTACCAGGTAGTGACTCCTTATTCCTTATGACGTGTCAGGCTGTGCACTGAGTTCTCCACAAGTATGATCTCCTTTGACTCCTACCACAATTCCATGATCCTTCCTTTTAAAGGTGGGGAAACTGAGGCCTGGAGAGGCTGGGAAATTTGCCCAAAGCTGCCCAGCTGTGGAGTGTTGCAGCCTGAGTTCTCACTCCAGACCCATTGGTCATTAGTTAGGTCTGCCGAGTTAGGTCTACACAGGATGGTACTGAACCTTGAGTCAAGGTTTCCGAGTCTTCCTACATCCAGCTTATTGGATTACACTTTTTTTTTTTTTTTAAAGATACAGGGCCTTGCTCATTTGCCTAGGCTAGAGTGCAGTGGGGCAATCATAGTTCACTGCAGCATCCAACTCCTTGGTTCAAGCCATCCTCCCTTGTCAGCCTCCAGAGTAGCTAAGAGTACAGGTGCACACCACCATGCCCAGTTAATTTTTTAATTTTTTTTTTGTAGAAACGGAGGGGGGGGTCTTGCTTTGTTGCTCAGACTGGTCTTGAACTCTTGACCTCAAGTGATCCTCCCACTGCACCCATCAGAATTATACTCATTTAATGGACACTTACTGAGTTCCTCTTTCGTGCTGGGTATGTTGCTAAGTGATAAGGAGGAAAATTAGCACAGAAGGTGCTTCTGTGCTCCTAGAGCTCTCGGAATAACGGTGAAGTGCCACAGCAACGTTCACACTGTGTGACATTCACACTAAGTGTGACAGTGGTGTGTGTGGAGTCCTGGGTGCCCGGGGTCACCGGCACACCGCTATGTGGAAGCATGTTTCTGAGAGGCAAAGGCGTCGTCATAGTCAGGGCCTGCTTGCACACTGGGTACAGGAGGCACAGTGCCGAGGGCCCATGGTACTTGGAGGAATCCACAAAAGGGTTTTTCTTTCTTTCAAAATCAGAACAAAAGTAAATTTTTAGGCCAAAGGCTTGGTCTTCATATGTCAGATTCATTATATTTGTCTATGCCAATGTGGCTGCAAATTATAATTTATACATGTACACTATTTCCTTTTTTTGGTGGAGGAAAGGTCTAGGAAGACAGAAATGCCCAACGGCCCAGTAGAGTCCTAATGCACCCCTGATGATAGTAATTTATTGGGAGGCAAACTCCTGCCTGGATTCTGGACCTGGTTTCATTCTGTGCTGTGGGACAGGTGACATGGGCTACATGCTCCTTCAGTCCAACTTCCAGGTTCATCAGGGTATTTACCTTCAGGCAGTGCAAAGGCAGCACTCAGAGACAGCAATTTTTTTTTTTTCTTTGAGACAGGGTCTCACTCCATCACCCAGGCTGACATAGGAAGACACAGCCTTTGGCCTAAAAATTTACTTTTTTTCTTCTGATTTTGAAAGAAATAAAAACACTTTTTGGACTCCTCCAAGTACCGTGGGCCCTCAGCACTGTGCCTCCTGCACCCATTGGGTATAGCGCAGGAGTACAGTGGCGCTATCTTGGCTCACTTCAGCCTCAACCTCCTGGGCTCAAGGAATCCTCCCACCTCAACTTCCTGAGTAGCTGGGACCACAGGTAAGCACCACCATGCCTGGCTAATTTTTTGTATTTTTAGTAGAGACGGGGTTTTGCCATGTTGCCCAGGCTGGTCTTGAACTCCTGGGCTCAAGCGATCCTCCCGCCTCAGCATCCCAAAGTGCTAGGATTATAGGCATGAGCGACGGCACCTAGCCGAGAGCAATTTTTAATAGCAACAATGATGGTAATGATGGTAGCTCCATACCAAGTGCTAGGCACTGCGCTGAGAGCATTCCAGTCATTATCTTTTCAGCACTTGCTAGGTTTCGGGTGTTTTCCTAATATTTCACAGCTGCATTGGGCTCTACTGCAGGGCCTGGCTTTGTGCATGGGGGTTGAGAAGGAGAGCCTGGTATACCTATTGTCATCTGATAATAATATAGGGTATATAGAGAGATATGTAGTATATATACTCTGTATAGAGAAGATATATATATATAGTATATATAATATATAGTCAGATGACTATATATAAATATATTTATATAATAAATATAAATATATATCTATATAGAATAGATGACAATACATACAAATATATATATTTGTGTATATATGTATATATAGAGAGAATCAGATGACAATATATACATATATATATAGGTATGTTTTTAATTAGAAACAGGGTTTCACCATGTTGTACAAGCTGGTCTTGAACTCTTGGGCTCAGGCAATCCTCCTATCCCAGCGTTCCAAAGTGCTGGAATTGTAGGCACGAGCAACCACGCACAACTGGCCCCCTTCTCATTCTTAAAATATTTTTAAAAATCTTAAAAAGCACTTTTTCCTTGTAAGAACTCTACTCACAGTTTTTATTATTATTTTTTTTCTCAATGGCAGGACATCTTATGGGCGTGTCTTGGAGGCTTTAGCTGGTAGGAGTTGGGCAAGGAAGAGAGAGAAAGGCACTCAAAGCAAACACTTCCCAGGTGTTGATAATAATCTGGATGCTGGGACCTGCACAGGTTGATTGTGGAGGTTCCTGAGGAAGTCCGCTTGGAAAGGGTGGAACTTAGAGGTCTGCCATAGCGAGCCGACTGTCTCACTTTAGAACATCTGAAGGCTGTTTCACACAAGACAAAACGAAGCACCTGAATGCCTTCGTCCTGAGCACCCACTAGCCTGGGCTCTGTGGACTTGCTCTCATGCTTGCATTTCCCTGCAGGTGTTCCATTCAGAGACGCCCAAGACCTGAGGCCGCTTGGGTTCATTGGCCTATTGATGGCCTTGGATCTGTCTTGCCAGAGCACCTCCACAGTGTTTTGGAAACATGTGGGTTGGGATTGACCAAAGCTGACGTGACTAATGGCAAAGTGACCACGGTTTGGGTCAACGTTCTCTGACCATGAAAAGAAGAATCGTTGTCTGTCCTTGCTAGGAACCGCACATGTGCCAAGTTTATTTGTAATGTGTTGCTGGGGATATTCCTACCAATAATGAATAATTAAGCCCAGAATTCATTTTTGGGTCTTTGTTGGGTTTTTCTTTTCTTTTTTCTTTCTTTTCGTGACTCAACCATTAGCTTGTGTGGCAAATATAAAACTGAAATCTGGTAGTCACCCACTACTTAAAACACCTTTAATGGCTTCCTTCTTTTCTTAAGAGAAAGGCTTAAAATAATTGATCAGTGGCGCCCAGTCCCTAGGTAGTCTCTGTCCTACCCAGCTCTCCAGCCTCACTCCTGGCCCTGTACCCACTCTGGCCTCTGCTTTGTCCCTTGGACTACCCAGATCTTCTAGTTCCACAAATGCACCCATGCTCTCCTGCGCAGGGTCTCCCCATCAGAAAAGAGCAGTCCTCCACCTAGATGGCTCTTCCTCCCTCTTCACTCCCAATTAATTCTGTCTCACCCTTTAAATCTCTGCTCAGATATTCCTTGTTTGGAGATACCTTTCTTAACCTCCTTGGTTACGTGGTTAGGTTCAACCCTCTTAACCTTATGTTCTTTTTTTTTTTTTTTTTTTGAGACGGGGTCTTGCTCTGTCACCCAGGCTGGAGTGCAATGGTGTGCTCTCGACTCACTGCAACCTCTGCCTCCCAGGTTCAAGCGATTCTCTTGCCTCAGCTTCCTGAGTAGCTGGGATCACAGGCGCGTGCCACCACACTCAGCTAATTTTATATTTTTAGTAGAGACGAGGTTTCACCATGTTGGCAAGGCTGGTCTTGAAATCCTGACCCCAGGTGATCCGCCAGTCTCGGCCTCCCACAGCGCTGGGATTACAGGCATAAACCACTGTGCCAGGCCCCTTACGTTCTATTAAAGTGTGTTGTTCCCCTTTATTGGAACCTTTATCCCAATTGTTTTGTCAACACAAAATTGGAGTGTTTATCCCAATTGTTTTATCAAACTTATTTTGTGATTCTTTGATTCACGTCAGTCTTTCCTACTAAATCCCCTGCCACAAGGGCAAGCACTGTGTCTGGTGCCACTGACTACTGTCATCCTATAGGATGATAGGCATTTAATCAATATTTGTCCAATAAGTGACAAAATGACAAAATGAACAAATGACAAAAATGAATGAAAGATCGATTAGGGCAAACCAAACCCTCGTTGAGAGATTACAAAACAAAAAATTACTTGAATATACAAGTCATTTATTTAGAGAAAAATAGGGTTATCACCATGATACCTAAATTAGTCATAGAACACACAGAGTTTTCTGGTGGGGAGGGGAGAATCCCATAACCAAGCAGCCTCACATACAAGATGATAGATGGCTATTATGTATTTTTTCCTTCTCTGTATTTTTCTTCACGGAAGCAAATGGAACTTTCCAAATATCACTGTAGGATTGGAAAAAGTGAAGCAGTCCGTAGTGCCATTTTGGGGGAAGGAGGGGGAAGAAGGGGAAAGGAGTCTGAAAAGCGTTTATGTTTGCTAATGGAAGTCAGATGTAGTACTCATTTTATGTTACTTAAGCAACGTGCTACATTTTCTCCATTAGTGGTCTTGTCAGGCATAGGATGTTTACAGGAAGTTGCACTAAGATAAGTGTGTCCTTTAAATTCTGTATCTTTCAGACCTTAGCAGTCTGCTGACTCCAGCTTTCAGCAGAGCAGAAACAACGCCTTGGGAAGACTTAAAACAACTTTGAATAAGAACCTGCTTGAGAAAGATTTGCCTTACAAGCTAAATGTTACATTTCCACTCAACAGAAAGGTACTGCTGTGTGGCCGTAAAAAGCTGGCCAAAACCCTGTAACCTTTGCAGTTAGTCATGTTATTTTTGGTTCATGCCAACATGGATCACAGCTGTGACTCAACAGAGCCACTGAAGCAAGAATTCAAAGAGTTTAAAGAACAGCAAACTCAGAAATGACTTTTTTTTTCTTATGGTGTCATTACGCAACATTTCTTGTCGTTTACCTTTTCTAATTTACCAACTCCATACAGATGAGCTCAGTCGTTGTTTGGCAATTGAAAATCTGAGTTGCGTCAGCACACTTCCCCAAATCCCACTGCAGGCGGAGGATGATGAAGCTTTCCTTTCTGGGGTGTTTGTTTTACGTAAGTAGTGACTTACTTTTCAGAGGTAAAAAAAAAAAAAAAATCTGTGTTGATATATGTCTCCCTCAAACCAAAAATAGGACTGGGGATTGATTTAAACGTTTGCAGTTCCCCATTTGAAGATGACAGAAAGCCCATATCGACTGGTTCTGCCTTTGTTTTTGTTTTTCACTAATTTATATTCACAAAATGAAGCCATAAGCTTAGACCTCACCGAATGGAAAACAGGCATGGACTTCAGCAGGCAATATATTAGCATATTTATCAACATCCTTTAGATTTTTGCTTTCATTTTTTAAATTACCATGTAAACTTGAAGATAACCCCAGTTTTCCCATTTGTGGGAACATAAGAAAGGGAGATGAAAAAAAATAATATTTGTCCCTTATCTATGAAGTGCTTTTATTTTTTAAATTTTTTTTATTACCTGAAGAACTACATTATCGTCAATATGAAGTGCTGTTTTTTTAAGCATTATGATTAGACTTAAGGATTCTAAGGACTAAAGTATTAAGGTGTTTTTTGTTGTTATTTGCTAATCATTAATCAACTGTTTTACCTGATTAATTTTCTCTTTGGGAAAATAGATTGAGATTGTGATCTGGGAGACCAAAGTAGACATTACTTTATCAATGAAGAAGGACCTTAAGGTTAACGAAACAAAAAGTTGGCCAGGTGAGGTGGCTCACGCCTGTAATCCCAGCACTTTGGGAGGCAGAGGTGGGTGGATCACGAGGTCAGGAGTTCAACACAATCCTGGCCAACATGGTGAAACCCCGTCTCTACTAAAAATACAAAATTAGCTGGGTACGGAGGCACACACCTGCAGTCCCAGCTACTCAGGAGGCTGAGGCAGGAGAATTGCTTGTACCTAGGAGGCGGAGGTTGCAGTGAGCTGAGATCATGCCAGTGCACTCCAGCCTGTGTGATGGAGCAAGACTCCGTCTCAAAAAAAAAAAAAAAGAAAAAAAAATTTTACCTATGGATTGAGAGCTTAGGGCCCAGCTGGCCTTGCGAATTTCTAAATTCCTGTAAGAAAATCCACACTCTTGCTAAACTCCCTAACAATAGGAGCTATTGGGCAAATTATCCTAACTCCAATTTGCAATCCAGACCACTACTATTCTGATTGGACAGAGGACAGGCCTTACAAACATTCTTTTCTGATGAGCAATTGCAGACCTTAAGCCAGTTTCAGCCAGCTTATAGAGGCTGCACACACACTGTCTTTGTGTCCTATAGTTCACCTTTTGCCCCAAAGTGAATATGGGATGTATATTACATGTTTGTTTATTCATTGCTCCTGTGCTTGGCTCTCCTCATAAATATGTATAGCTTCTACCCCAAACCTGCTGAATACGTATGACTCTATTGTGTAATACAGACTCTCAGAGGAATGAGACCCAACCTGTCCTTCCCCTGTTTGAAGAGAGAGCATCTTTGGTCCATGCTGGAGACTTTCTCTTCCAGCTTGCAACTGATATCACCAATAAAGCTCTTCTTTCTACTATTTAGTCATCCTGGTGGTCTTTTGGATTATAAGTTTTTGTGTCCCATAGTTATACCCATTGCTTAAGCTTGCCATATAGAAAATGCCATTCATAGACACAGCTCTTCATTTGAGTACTTAAAGGTAAGTTTAAAATGTGGAAACAGGCTGGGCACAGTGGCTCACGCCTGTAATCACAGCACTTTGGGAGGCTGAGGCTGGTGGATCACCTGAGGTCAGGAGTTCAAGATCAGCCTGGCCAACGTGGTGAAAACCCATCTCTACCAAAAATACAAAAATTAGCTGGGCATGGTGGCACGCACCTGTAATCCCAGCTACTCAGCAGGCTGAGGCAGAAGAATCACTTGAACCTGGGAGTCGAAGATGGCAGTGAGCTGAGATCATGCCATTGCACTCCAGCCTGGGTGACAGAGCGAGAATCCATCTCAAAAAAAAAAAAAAAAAAAAAAAAAGTGGAAACACCATTTTGGAGGTTTTCTTTCAATAACAAAGATGTTGCCCAAAAGGAAATACATTTCTACGATACCCTTTGGGTGTGACAGGGAATTTTATACACCTCCATAAGGAAAGTGTATAACATTCTTGGGAGCTACCTTCAAGCATTTACTGTACAGGGAAAATGGAAGATGGTCTACTGAATGAGTGTCTCACTGTGGATTGGTCCAGGAACCAGTTCAGCACATGGTAGCAGCTATTCCTTTTTAAAGTAAACTGATGGAACTTTTGTTTCCTTTTGTTTCCTGAAACCTTTTGTTTCCTGATTCTCTTGTTTTTGGCAAATTCTTACTTGAAAATATTTTTGAACTAGAATGTTTTGAGCTCGGAGAACCTGCAGAAACCATCTTATTTATGGATGCAGAAGGTAGCACAGAAAGGTTAAGGAACTTACCTAAAGTTACACAGCTAATTTGTGGCAAAAGTGGGATTCACTTCCAGGTTTAGTATGTCATTTGAATCACGTCATAACCTGCTTTGGAGAACAAATTGATCTAAAGAATTGACTGTTCCAAAGAATTTGGTTTATAAATCTTAAAATCATTTAGATCACAAAATGTCATGAGAGAAAACACTGAGAATATAGAGAAATGTTCAGAATATTAGAACAAATTGAAGTTGTACCTATTTCAAGAAAAATAAAATCTTTCCTATATCTTTATGTGTATAATGATTTTTAGATTATTTTTTAAATTGCCAAAATTCAATTTGGCAAAGCAGTGAACTTTGAAACACATGTTAATAAACTGAAGTTTTATTTACTGATTTTCTATAAACAAATAAACACTGAAATGTTATCTATAATAATGAATATTCTTGTGTTCCTGGAACACATTGAAATATTGTGTTGTAATAAAATAAAAATTACAGTGCTGTAGAGGTTAGCATTGGAGGTTAACGTATTATTTCGATGTATAAAATATAGTATTGAACAAAACAGACATAAATCAGCATATGGTGGGATTCCATTCATATGAAATGCAAAAATGGGTGTATTAGTCTGTTCTCACATGGCTATAAGGAGATACCTGAACCTGGATAATTTATAAAGAAAAAAGGTTTAATTGGCTCACAGTTTTGTAGGCTGTACAGGAAGCATGGCTGAGGAGGCCTCAGGAAACTTACAATCATGGTGGACGGTGAAGGGGAAGCAGGCTTATCTTATATGGACAGAGAAGGAGGAAGAGAGTGAAGTGGGAGGTGCTACCCACTTTTAAACCACCAGATCTTCTGAGAACTCACTGTCACGAGAAGAGCAAATTGGGAAATCTGCCCCTTTGATCCAGTCATCTCCCACGAGGCCCCTCCTCCAACACTGGGGATTTCAGCTCAACATGAGATTTGGGCAGGGATGAAAATCCAAACCCTAACAATGGGCAAAACCAATTTAGACTGTTACAAGTCAGGATGGTGGCTGTTCTTGGGATGGGTTCCCGGAATTGCTGGAACTGGGTGTGAGGGGCTGGTCATGTTTCTTGATCTAGGTTCTGGTTACATATGTGTGTTCAGTTTGTGAAAGTTTATCAAATTGTGCATTACTACCTATGTAGTTTTCTGAATATATATTATACTTCAATAAAATGTTTTAAAAATATGTATATCATATATCATTTCATCTTAGAAACAGAACACGTTAATAAGTGACTAGTTTTTGGAAGAAATTATTATAGCATAAGTTTTAAAAAAAGATGTTGGGGTGGGGTTTTTAACTTTCCATAATGCTGTAAAGTTTGCAACACTCACACAGTCATAGAACAAATAGAACTTTGACTTTGGTTTCAAAATTTATGCAGCTGCCTCCATATACTTTTGACAGTTTAATCACATATTTAACAGTTACAAAGCATGTTTTAGACATCAAGAGGATACATGGAGATGGTGGTAGGGCTTATATACCCATGGTCGTGTAAAACAGGAAAAATGTCAGCAAAAATAAACTATTATGCTGGTCTATTGAGTGACTTTGTCAGCTTTATAAAGGAATGAATATATAGTGTTGAAGGATAATCTTTCTGAATTAGTAAGTTATTTTTTAAAAAGCACATCTAAATCAATACCTTATTTTAGAAGAAATGTAATGTTAGGCATACTAACATGTATAAAACATAGTTTTTGAAAGAAACAGCTGATACCCTTTAAAGCTTACAGAAGACTAGAAATAATCTGACTTCCAAATGCTCCCCTCTTTGGTTGAAGCAGGAATATTCTATGAGGCATTTAAGGGAAGAGAAGCAGGGATTGTGAGTAAAAAGGGTGTGGACAATTTCCTCAAGTGAAACTTGCTTGGATAATCGGTGGCTGAACTAAAAAATTCACTTATTTAGACTTTTTACCAGTTTCATAACTAAGTTCTTCTCCAAGGGAGGCTGATGTATATTTATGTAACCATATTTTAGGGCTTAAAAAGTTCACAATTTAAAAAGACTCCTGCAAGGAAACAGGCCCTATTTTTTCTCCCAAATACCCTGAACTTTGGAGCTAGATAGCTTCTTAGTCTAACTGTTACAAAGGAATCCTTTTGTTTAAGATTTTTGTTCATTCGACTTTTGATATTTCTTGCTTTTGTCAACAAGTTAAATTCTATGTGAATTCATATCCCAGTATGATGTTCTCAATAAGCTGATCCAATTATTGCATCAAAAATGCTCCTTTTAAAAAATAGAGACCTGTCTCAATTTCTTCTCAATGGAGTGTGCAGTGTGTATTTCTAAATGAATTGAAAAAATAGATGTCAAGTAGAAGCAGGTGGCTGCTACATATTTTTGCAGTACTTAAGCAACTAATTGGCTTATTTCTTTTTAAGAAAAACTGATGAGGAAAACATCCTTTTCTAAAGAATTAAACAGCATCATCATCATATTATGTTTACTTAGCACTTTCCAGTTTGCAAAGCATGTTTCCTATTTTTGTCGTTATTCAATCATCACAATAATTCCATTAGTACTAGTTAGGTATGATTGTTACTCCTGTTTTACAAATGAGAAAACTCTGACTCAGAGGGCAGAGCCAGGGCTGTCTGCCTGTGTGTTTAGCTGGGTGACATCCTTTCCACGACATCATAGGGACCTGTGATCAGAAAAAGGAAGAATTTTTTTCTAACTTTTTTTTCTGAAAACAAGAATTTTTGCAAACGATATGATAGAATATAATTGAATTTTAAAATTAGACAAGGTTTTTCAAAATAATTATTCACTTTATTCAGCAAATTAATTTTATTTCAAAATAGTAATTTCTTTTATTCGACAGGTATTTGTTCAGTAACTCCTGGGAGCCACAAATAATTCTGGGTTCTGGGGTGAAAATGCGCGTGGTATAAGTTGTATGGAAGGTATCATCTGCCCTCTTGAAGGTTATGGAGTTCTCAGCAAGATGCCCATTAAACAATCACACACAAATGGATAAATGTTTAAATCGATGGTACATACTAAAACAAACTTTGGAGGGAGCTGTGAGAGTTGATTACCTGGGAACTCAATTTAGACAGGGAAGGCCTCTTGAAGGAAGTGGCATTTAAGCCTTGAAGTAGGATACAGCTGGGTGAAGGGTTGGGGAGGCGAGGGAAGAGCATTCTAGATGGAGCAAACAAAGTGTGCCAAGTGCCTGAGGCAGAGACATTGGGACCTCTAGGAGATGGAAGCAGCCCAGATGTTAAAAGAGCACAGCGGATGATGAATGATTTTGAGGCTGCTGAATGTGGGGAGGCTATTAACATTTTTTGAGGAGCGGTACAGTTTACATTTTAAGACCATCATGCCTGCTGCTGGAAAAAGGAGGGGCGAGGAGTTGGAAGAAGGGATAGGATAGACCTGGAAGAGGAGGACTCCCTCAAAACCATGCCATGAGAAGCTTCCAAAGCAGCTCTTGGACCTGACAACGGGGGGCCAGTGATGACCCCACAGGGTGTGGGGTGGAAGCTAGTTGGGGTGAGTTGACCTGGAGACACTACTGGCAGACCCACTTAATAGGAATTTAGTTGTCAAGGGAACGGGAAAGATGGAGAGGGTGTTGGACGGTCTGAATGGTTATGTTCCTCCCTAATTCATCTGTTGAAATCCTAACCCCCAAGGTGATAATATTAAAAGATGGGGTCTTTGGGAGGTGCTTAGGTTGCAAGAGAGAGCCCTTGAGTGGGACTAGTAACCTTATAAAACAGGCCCAAGGCAACTTGTTTGTCCCTTCCACCGTGTGTGCTGGCCGTGAGAAGATGGCGGTCTACGAACCAGGAAGCAGGTCCTCGCCAGACACCGAGGCGTCCGCTGGTGCCCTGATCTTAGACCTCCTACCCTTCAGAACTGTGAGTTTCTGTTGTTTAGAAACCACCCAAGTCTAGGATATTTTGTTTTTTATTTGTTTTTTTGAGACGGAGTTTCGCTTTTGTTGCCCAGGCTGGATTGCAGTGGCACGATCTCGGCTCACTGCAACCTCTGCCCCTTGGGTTCAAGCAATTCTCCTGCCTCAACCTCCCTAGTAGCTGGGATTACAGGTGCCCGCCACCACGCCTAGCTAATTCTTTTTTTTTTTTTTTTTGTATTTTTAGTAGAGACGGGGTTTCACCATGTTGGCCAGGCTGGTCTCGAACTCCTGAGCTCAGGAGATCCACCCACCTCAGCCTCCCAAAGTGCTGGGATTATAGGCGTGGGCTACTGCACCCAGCTCTAGGATATTTTTGTTATAGCAGCCTGAACAGACTAAAGACAGGGTGTACATAGGGCAGGGAATTGAAGGAAAGTGGTGGTGGTGGTGTTTTCTCGTTTTTTTGTTTTGTTTTGTTTTGTTTTTTTGGGATGAGATCTTGCTCTGTTGCTCAGACTGGAGTGCAGTGGCACGATCATGGCTCACTGCAGCCTCGACCTCCAGGACTCAAGTGATTCTCCCACCTCAGCCTCCCGAGTAGCTGGGACCACAGGTGTGTGCCACCACACCTGGCTAAGTTTTTGGTTTTATTTATTTTTTGTAGAGACAGGGTCTCCCTCTGTTGCCCAGCCTGGCTTTAAACTCCTGGGCTTAAGCCATCCTCCTACCTCAGGCTCCTAAAGTGCTGGGATTACAGGCCTGAGCCACCATGCCTGGCCTGAAGGGACGATCTTGAAAGTGGAGCACGCTGAAGTATCTGGGCACAATAATGAAAGTCATTCATCAGTGAAGGAGAGATTGATGATGGTGGCAGTGGTGGTGTGTGAGAAAAAGAATCTCAGACAGACATACACTGTCAGCTAATCAAAGAAGGAAAGCCCTTGGGCAGTCACAAGAAGATGTGGCCAGAATGCATGCAGAGCATTTTACACTGTTTTACGCTGCTCCTGGGATAAGAGAGACACTTCCATTGTGGTAACAAGAAGGAAAGGCGGAGAAGATGGGTTTACAGATTTGGTTTGGGAAGATGAAGACATTTCATTCCAATGGTTGTTTTTTTTCCCCTGCCTTTAGGAAGCATGAAGTGGGGTCAGAGTGAAGGGCAAGAGGAGAGCTGGGGTTGGGCAGACTGAGGCTGTCTGGATCGATGATATGGCCTTAGTGTGGAGATGAAGAGAGAGCTTGCTAGGCAGTGTCCTTGGAAATGGGTGAAGATGATCTTGACACCAGTCCCCGTACTGGGTATTTTTCCTCAGCAGCATTTAGCCCTGCAGTGTATGGGGTTCATCTAGTTTTGGGAGACTATTGGAAGAGTTATTGGTTGATTCAGATGATTAATAATTGAATTGGGCATGCTTTCTGAAATGCTTACGATTTCTATCAAAATATTCGATGTGAATATGATGCCACAAGGGGAACCCCTGGAATCCATGGCACTTCCACAGCACTGACATGGCCTTCCTGGCTTCTGTATTTCTTTTATTGGTAGCAAAGGTAGAGACGGAGACAAAGAACTGGAATTTAGACGTTGGAGATTTAGTTTCTGGCTGCTAAATTCCACTGCAGTGTTACATAGTTCAGAAGGCTGGTAAGTAAAGTACAGTGAGTCCCATGACCAGTTTAGAAGTGTGCCTCTCTGGAACTCACCGTCATCTCAGAGCACACAGCTGCAGGAAGCTCACAGAGTCACTCTCAGGTCACTTCTCTGAGTTAAAGTGGAACCACCTGCCCACCCCTTGCCCACACACACCTTCCTTCCTTGACCCTGCACCCCTCCGGCTTTCTTATCTCTTTCTTTCCTTCACAGCAGGCCTTCTACTTCTTCTGCCTCTCTCTTTCTTCCCTTTCCGTGAACTCTTCGGCGCCTTAAATGCCAGCTTCTACCTCTCTGCAGCTGCACCCCCCGGGCTCTCAAATGACCTTCTGGTGGCTACAGCCGGTGGAAACTCTCCAACTGCCATCTTACTTGATTTGTCCTGTATTATTTCCACTGCGCTCTCTCCTGCTTGGTGAATTCTATGGGCCTATTCTCTCCTTAGTTTCCCACCTATCTCAATGGCAAATTCTTCTTAGTCTCTTTTGTGGGTTCCTCTTCCTCCTCTCACTCCTAAAACATCATAGGTCCCTCGAAACTCTGTCCTGAGTCAAATTCATGTCTCCAGCCAGGCTGACCCTGAGGGCTATTCCTGTCTAACTAGGCAGCTCCATGTGTGTGTGTTCTATAAAGGCCTCAAACTTCATATGTTCAAAGTTGACCTCATCATCTTCTGCTGAACTCTGTTTTTGCAAATGTCACTGCTGTTCACCAGGTTCCTCAAGTCAGAAACCAATGGATCATTGTCAATTTCTCCTTCTCTATTTTCCTGTACATCTAATTAATCACAAAGCCTCATCCAGTGTGTATCTTAAACACCCCTCACCTCTGTTTGCTTCCCACAACACAACTGCCATCACTCTAGTACAGGGGCTTCTCCCCTCTCATCTGAAACATTAGTAACACCCTTCTTTCCTTCCCTCCTGTTTCTAGATTCATCTCCATAATCTACCCGCCACAATGTCAATAGAATCACCTTTCTAGCATGCAGATTGTCTTGTCACCTCTTTGCAAGAAATTCTTCAGTGACTCTGTCTCACCTATGGCACATAATTTTTACCCTTTTAGAAGGACACAGAGGTGTCTTTACAACCAGGCCTACACTTGGGACCCAGGTCTTGGAGCCCTTGCCAATGAAGCATTTTGATCTACTTCTCAATAACCATGATCTTGCATGCCTCTTGGTCTCTGCATATGCCGTTCCCATCCCCTGGAATATCCTCCCATGCTTGTTTGTCACACTTGGTGAAACATTTGCCATTTTCCTGGCTCGGTACCTGGAGGTCCAAAATGGAGGCTAGAGAGACAATAAGTACCAGAAACTGCCCACATTTAGAGTCAGACACTCCATCAAGGATTACTAAAGAGTCTGCACAATTTCCTTACAACCCTCAGCCATGACTCTTATCCTTCCCTGTGTTCCCAAGGAGGGTAGAGAGAGGGAATCACTGGAGTCAGTTGTCACTGGCCTGGTGGGGGAATGCATGGCTTTTCCACTTCCTCACCATGGGGTAGGGAGGGCTGTTGCCCTTAAAGCCGAGTGTGTGTGGTGAGCAGCAAGAGAATCACTTGCAGAGATGAATCACAAGAAGGGAAGGCCGGTGTCACGCTCCCTGACTGCATGCCCATGAAGCTGGAAACCTATTGGCCCACTCTTGTGCTGCCAAAGAGCAGAGGGGAGCCTGGGGAAGGGATTCCTGGGGGAGCCTGACATGTGTCGTGGGAGTTTAGGAGTACACATGTATGTATGTAGAAATGGATGCCTCCTCTGCCTGGAACTCTAAGGCATGAGTCTTTCTGGAATAGCCCTTGCCAGGAAAGGGAGTAAGAAACACACAGTTTAGTGTGTTTTATCAAGCTTGCCCAACCCATGGGCCACATGCGGCCCAGGACAGGTTTGCCTGCAGCCCAACACAAATTCATAAACTCTCTTAAAACATTATAAGATTTGTTTATGAATTTGTTTAAACTTATCATCTATCGTTAGTGTCGTTAGTGTTAGTATATCTTTTTTTTTTTTTTGGTGAGACAGAGTCTCACTCTGTTGCCCAGGCTGGAGTGCAGTGGCGCTATCTCGGCTCACTGCAAGCTCCGCCTCCTGGGTTCACGCCATTCTCCTGCCTCAGCCTCCGAGTAGCTGGGACTACAGGCGCCAGCCACCATGCCCGGCTAATTTCATGTATTTTTAGTAGAGACGGGGTTTCACCGTGTTAGCCAGGATGGCCTCGATCTCCTGACCTCGTGATCTGCCCGCCTTGGCCTCCCAAAGTGCTGGAATTACAGGCGTGAGCCACTGCGCCCAGCCCAGTGTTAGTATATCTTATGTGTGGCCCAAGACAATTTCTTCCAGTGTGGCCCAGGGAAGCCAAAAGATTGGACACCCCTGCTTTAAATGAAGAGATCTCATTTCAGTTCTCTTTGGCCTTCGGGGTACGTGGAAAATGACTTCAGAGACTTCTATGGGTATTGAGCACAGAAGTTAGGTGAGAAACAGAAAGGAGAGTAATTAGGAGACATCTGAGGCAAAAACAGGACCAACTTTGAGAGGAGATTGAGAGTATGGGCCACTGTCAGAACCAGACACATGGCTGCCCCTTTCTGAAGGGGTCATCAAGGATGGGGAAGGCAGAGGTGAGCCTGAACTCGCCCCCTAAAACCACACATGCTGCGTTTGTAGAGACCACCATATCAGTAGAGGGCACCAGCATCAGATTGAACCAGAGTGGACCAGAGATGCATCCCATCACCATCACTAGTGGGACAACAGATGCTCAGCATAGCCTCAGGTTTCCTGTATGTTTCCTCCAGTCTTCATCCTTGCCAGAGGCAGACTCAGGAGAGGGAGGAGAAGCAGGTGTTCCATGACTAGATCACACTCTTCTGTCCAAGTCAAGGTGCTGGCATGGGAGGGTACAGAACGGAAGAAGAGGTTTAAATTGCACATGTGTGCATGTGCCCTACACCCATACAAACACACACACAGAGTTTTAGGCATCAAGAAAGGACTTGGAAAGATAAAATTAAATGATTCTGGTGCTTGAGAGTTTCTATAGGCCAACCTATCCTAGGCTTTCTTAAATCAGAACATACTGATATGATAAAATGATACAAAATTAGCAAGGACACACAGGATATTTTGCAAACTTGGACTAATGTAGTGAAATACTGGCTCACTGACTAGTTAATTCCTCTAAGAAATCATTCCAAATGTATTCATATCTGTGTTAGTTCTTTCAGGCTGCTATGACAGAATACCATAAACTGGGTAGCTTATAAACAATAGAAATATATTTCTCAGAGTTCTTGGGGCTGGGAATTCCAAGATCAAGGCACCAGCAGATTTTTGTCTAATAAGGGTTTGCATTTATCTAATGAGGATCATAGATGACACCTTCTAGCTGTGTCCTAAATTGGTCCAAGGAGTGAATGAGCTCCCCCGGGCCTATCTTACAAGGGCACTAATCCCATTTATGAGGACTCTGCTCTCATAACTGATCACCTCCCAAAAGGCCTCACTCCCAATTACCTTGGAGGTTAGGATTTTAACATAAAAATTTGGGGGGAACATGAACATTCAGACCATAGCAATATCCATTTAAACATAAGAGATATTAAAGGAAGAATAACATATCAAAAGGGTTGAAATTTTGAACAAGATATCTAATATAAATCAATGATCATCAAATCAAAATCAAGGTGTACCTCAAGGCAATAGTAAATTAAGAAACATTTATATTCACCAGTAAGCAGATGGAACGCTGTGGATTCATGCACCAGCCGATCAAACTCAGTGATTCCCAGCATTTTCTGATGAATCACAGCATTTTTTAAAGGCAGGCTATCAAGAATTAAGAAACACACAACTTTATAATGCAGTTAAATATTTTTCTTATAGTTGTACTTTAAATGCCTTCTAGAGAAAATAAAAGTAGTGTGAGATTGTTGCTTTGTTTTGGCAGAATTTTAAAAAATAACTTAAGGAGCTGTACTATTCTGTGAGATACCCTCTGTGACCCATTGTGTGGTTTATAGCACTGATTACCCAAGTCGTGGCCCAAACAATGGGTTTGGGATATTCCTTCAAAATCGTAGTCAGATGTTTTAATGAAGAAATCAGACGGTTAAATAGTATGGACTTTTAAACTGAAAGCGAGTGGCAACTTACTAAATCTTCCCCAATGTGTTAAGAGATGGGAAATAGGGATTTGAGAGAGAGTACAGTTGAATGCACAGATTGGAGAAAAATATAACATGATTTACATTTTGACCCCCCCAAGTTAATACTTCTAAATAAACCAGTTATTTAATACTGTTTGTCAATAGTTCTTTAGTTAACTGAATTTCTTGTTGTTCAAGATTTCTGTTCTTTGCTTTTTCCTCTATATTAGTTTTCTATTGCTGTATAACTAATCACCCCAAAATCTGACAGCTTAAAACAACAAGCATGTATTATCTCATGGTGTCTGAGAGTCAAGAATTTGGATGCAGCTCAGCTGAGATTCTAGGACTCCACGTCTCGCATGAGTTTATGGTCAAAGTGCCAGCTTGGGCTGCAGTCTTATCTGAAGACTCAAGTGAAGGGAGATCTCTTCCAAGCTCCCTCATGTGGTTGTTGGCAGGATTCAGTTCCTCATGAGTTGTTGGGCTGAGGGCCTCAGCTCCATGCTGACTGTTGGCTAAAGGTCTCCCTCTGTAATAGGTGGGCCTCTCTACAGGGCAGCTCACAACACTGTGGCTAGCTTCCTTCAGAATGAGTGAGTGAGAAAGTGCCAAAGAGAAAAGTCACATTTTTTTCATAACCTAATCTCAAAAGGGACATCCCATCACTCCTACCATGTTCTATTCATTAGAAGTGAGTTAGCACATCCAGCCCACACTCAAGAGGAGGAGACTGCACAAATTCATGAATAACAGAAGGTGGGGATCACCGCAGGTCATCCTAGTGGCTACTAAATCCTCTCTCCCATACCACTCCCTTCCCTCCACTCTTTTCTCCATAACTCCCAGTCTCACCCAGTGACCTGGCCTCTTACTCTTTAAGAATAGGAGGTAAGGTTTTCTTTTATCTGTTTCCAACTAAGTCTCAAATCTTCTTTATCTTCAGCCATTATCTTCTTTCCTGTTGTTATCACTGACAAATTGCCCTTCTTTCTGCCCTCACCTATCACAAATAAAAATGTCCCTAGGCCTCCTTGTTCTCCTTGAGCCATCATCTCATTATTCTGCTCCCTTGTACGTAAACCTCTTTGAGCAAGTTGCCTTTACATGTTCTCTCAACACCTCAATTCCCATTCACTGATTTGCCTTAATCATGCTTCTGCCTCATCACTTCATTGAAATTAGTTTTGTCAAGATCACCGATGATTTCTATGTTGCTGTATCCAAAGAGCATTCATCTGTCCTTGATGACATTCAACATGATTGGCCGTTTCTTTCCTTCTCTCTTGGTTTCCATGACACCACACTTATGTGGCTACATATTTTTTTTCTAATGACTCTGGTCCCTCCCTTCTAGACTCTTTTGTTGGCTTCCCTTCTATCCACGTTCTAAATATTGGTATTTTTCAGGGCTCAGCCTGTGTCTTCCCTCTTTCCACAAGTGATCTCATTCATTTCTGGGGTTTTAAGAACCACTTAGATGTGGATGAACCTGAAGTTAACTTATTCAGCCAATACATCCTCTGAACTATAGAATGGGTTCTTTAACTGTTTACTTGATAACTCCATTTGGATATCTGAAAGGGACCTCAGACTGAATGTCTATAATAGAACTTCCGGGTTTTCTAACTTCCCTCTCCCTAACTTGTTTCTAGAATTCCCTGCCTCCATAAATGGAGCTACCAGCCAACTTGTTTGCTCAAGTATAAATCCTTGGTTCCTCCTCTTCCTCAATCTTCGATTCCAATCTATCCACCAAGTCCTGTAATTTCCCTATTTTCTAAATATATGTCCAATATATTCCACTATTTCCGTCCTAATCTAAGCCATCTTCTGTCACCTGGCTCACTAGAGTAGCTCTCCATTGACATTCCTGCTTTTATGCTCTGCAAAGAAGCCAATTAAATAGTTTAAAATAATTTATTGGCTTATATTTCTCTTGGTGAAAACCCTTTGGTGCCACCCCTCTATCCTTTGAAAATCTAAATTTCTCAAGGTCACATATGATACGTCTCTTGCTGATCATGCCAGCCTCAGATCACCCCCATTCACCCTGCACTTACTATGTGTTAGCTATATTAGCTTTCAGCAGTTCTGAAGCCCACCAAGTCTCTATCATTTCCAGGCCTTTGCACATGCTATTCCTTCAGCTTGAAATGCGTTGCCTCCTTATTTCCCCATGGCTGGCTCATGCATTTACCAAAATAAGTAATGTTAGATTTATTCATTGTTTATTTATTGCTCACCTCATTAGACTGTAAACCCCATAAAGACAGAGACCAAGTATGCTCTGTTCACACTTGTATACCCAGCACCAAGCACTTAAAAAGTATTCAAAAAATATTTGAGTAGCCAAACAATCTCACAGTCTCACATTCATGCTCCAGGTCTCAATTCAAATCTGCCTCTTTAACAACCTTCCCAGCCCATGAAGCCTTCCCAGATTCCTTCCCAGACTGACCCACGGATTCCCCTCTCCTATATGTTATTTATATATTTTATGTGCCTCCACTGGAGCAGTTGCTATGGTGTTGAGAGTTCCTTGTACGTCCCTCTCCATGATAGCCTGTAAACTCATTGAGGTCAGGGGCCTTATCTTTTCATCACTAAAACCCCAGGCCTGCTTTATAGTGCCTGGGGTCCACCCAGCAAGTGCTCCACGCATGTTTGCCTAATGGTGTTCTGAGGGTCCTTGACAGCAGCCCTCTTCTGGCCCTTGGATGAGAAGAAGGAAACTCTTTTCCTGGCTCAGGCATGAAACCCAGGCCCCTGACTGCTGCCAGCTGCCTCCCTCTGGAACCTGCCGCAACCTGAAGCCAAGTCTGAGCTTCTCTGGGAAGTGCCCCTTTGAGGCCCTGAGATTTTGCTGAGTGAAACATACTTACAGTAGGAAAGAACATAGTCTTACAAAGAATGTTTCTTGAGCGTCTCTGCTAAAAGGTAAGAGAAAATGACCTAGGGCAAAGGTAATTATTGTAAATGGTTGACATGGGGCACACACTTTCCTAAACTTGTAAGTGATAATAACATCACTTTATTAATTGGATTCAAGTAGCATCTTTCTTTTCCTTTGGTTCATTTCAGATGACAGGGACAGACCCCACTCTTTCCTTAGCAAAGTGTGCCCTGGTGACCGCAGCCCCATCCTTCTGGCATCATCTGGAAGAGCTCCCTTTAACCAATGCTGGGGAGTCTGAATTTGAAGCAGGTGTATGAATGCATTTGAAAGAATCTCTTCCAGATGCCAGAAGATTCAGTTCTGGAGAAGGACGTGAAGGAAAATTATGAGAACAAGTGTCCTATTCACATGCTAGGAAAATAAATGTTTTACTAATCCTTAAATAACATTTTACTCTGAGGTGTATTGGCAAATTTCAGTTTTATTTCGGTATGAAAGTCTCATTTTTAGGAGTGTGATTTATACACATTTAAGCAGTAGAGGTGACTCCTAAAATTAGCTTCTGTCATCCCATGCTAATGTCTGTATGGGAAGAGAATAATATAATTTTAAAGTCCTGACATTTTTGTTATGTTTAGTGGATAATTTACTATTTATTATCATTGGATACAATGTAGTTTAATCATTAAAAATGCACACACTTTCCTACGTTTCGCAGCCTTCTCATGGTAGAGGAAGTATGCCATCAGAAAGATGGCCTATGTGTTCTGTTTCTCTACTCAAGGCTTAATGAATAAAATTCCATCATTAAACAAATATTTGTTTAGCACCTTTTTGTGTGCCAGGCACTGTGCTATGTGCTGGGATACAACAGAGCTTACAGTCTGGATTTTTGGCTAGATGGAAAGTGGGGTGTGGTGGATTCTCACCTGTACAAATCAGACTGGATATCTGAGGAGTGACTTAAAAGTTAGCTATGTGTTACCTGTTCTACCCCATTCATTCGTTTATAGAGTAAACTCACAAGCCTCCATAGCAAATTTGGGAAAATAATACCATCTAAAAGCCCAAACAGTAGTTTCTACTTATATGGAATATACCATATGGATCTTATTGGAGTAGATTTGGCATATTGAATGTATTTTATTCAAGTAAAAGGAAAAATCAGCATGTACTCATCAATGCAGAGAAATAGTGACTGCATTCATTACATAGTCATTAGAGGAAACTGTCCTGGGACTAAAATTTTACTGCAATTAATAATATGATCTGTAGATAGTAAATTCTCCCTGGACAGTAAATTATCTGGGTATTTAGAAGTTGACTCCAGGGAAGCCCCTCATCCCTGAGGGCCTGACTCCCCTCTCCTATCAAAAGACACCTGGTGGCCTGGGCTGGGGAAGGCCCTTCTGTCTCTTCAGGCAGCACCAGCAGGAATCAGTGGGAACCCCAACAGCAGCAGAGAAACCAAGCAGACCAAGATAACAACACAAAGCCTCAGGAAATTAAATTGCCTTTGGAACCATCACCCACAAAATTAGGCCAGGACCTGCATGCAGAACCTAAAAAGGACAACTGCCTGATAAAATACAATATGTAAATATAACTCCGAGACTGTTAACATGATAGACAAAACATCCAGGATACAATAAAAAATCACCTTCATACCAAGAACCAAAACTTCCCAACTTAAATGAGTAAAGACAATCAACTCTTCACATCATTAAGTCATCAAGGAAATGCAAATTAAAACAACAATGAGACACCACTACATCCCTGTTAAAATGGCCAAAATTCAAACAATGACAACACCAAAAGCTGATGAGGATGTGGAGCAACAGGAACTCTTACTTATTGCTGCCAACCACTGTGACAGACAGTTTGATGGTTTCTTACACAACTAAACATTCTCCTACCATATGATCTAGCAATCACACTTCTTGGTTTTTATCCAAAGGTGCTGAAAATTTATATCCACACAAAAACTTGCACATAGATGTTTATAGCAGCTTTATTCCTAACTGCCAAAACTTGGAGTCAATCAAGATGTCCTTCACTAGATAAATGAATAAATAAACTATGGTACATCCAAAAAATGAAATATTATTCAGTGCTAAAAAAATGAGCTATAAAGCCATGAAAAAACATGGAGGAAACTTAAATGCATATTACTAAGTGAGAGAAGCCAATCTGAAAAGACTATACACTGTATTGTTCCAATTAGATGACCTTCTGGAAAGGCAAAATTATGGAGACAGTAAAAAGATCAGTGGTTGTCAGATGGTGGGGAGGAGGGAAGGGTGAATGGGTGGAGCACAGAGAAGTTTTAGAGCAGTGAAACTACTCTGTGTTATACTATAATGGTGGATACATGTCATTACACATTTGTCCAAATCCGTAGACTGTCCAACACCAAGAATAAACCCTAATATAACTACGGCCGTTAGGTGATTATGATGTGTCAGTGTAGGTTACTCAGTTGTAACTTCTGGTGCAGGATGTTGATGATGGAAGAGAGTATACATGTAGGGGAGGCAGGGAGTATATGGGAACTCTCTGCACCTTCCTCTCAATTTTTCTATAAACATAAATACTCTAAAGAATAAAGTTTAAAAAAAGACAATCATCTGACGTCAACACCAAGAACAATCAGATGTAGGCGTTATCCCACATTATCCAAATCATCAGGAATTTTAATGCAGCTGTCATAAAAATGCTTCCACATTTAATTACAAATTGTCTTCACACAAATGAAAAAGTAGAAAATCTCGGCAAAGAAACAGAAGCGATTAAAAAAATTGAAATTATGGGGGGGAGGGGAGAGGGACAGAATTAGGAGATATAGCTAATGATAAATGACGAGTTAATGGGTGCAGCACACCAGCATGGCACATGTATACATATGTAACTAACCTGCACATTGTGCACATGTACCCTAAAACTTAAAGTATAATAATAATAATAAAAAAATGGAAATTATAGAACTGAAAAAAATATAATTACAGAAGGAAAAAAATCTTCTGGATAGGCTCAATCATAGAGTGGGACGACAGAGAACAGAATCAGCGCACTTCAGAACATATCAATAGAATTCGTCCAATCAGAAAAACACAGAGAAAATAGATGGGAGGGGCAGTGTGTGTTGAGGGGAATCAATAGAAACTCAGGAATGTAGAACAATAACACAAGATGCAACAATTTACTGTCAGAGTCTCAGGAGGAGAGGAGCAAGAGAATCAGACTCAAAGAGTATTTGAATAAATAATGGCTGAAAACTCCACATTTTTTGAAAAACACACACGTACATGTTCAGGAAGCTGAGCAAATCCTGAACGAAATAAACCCAAAGAAATCCACGTGAAGACACATCATAATTAAACTTCTGGGAACTAAAAGTAAAGAAGTCTTGAAAGCAGCCAGGGAGAAACAATTCGTTACTTCCTAGGGAAAAACAATTAGAATGATGGTAGATTTCTCATCTGAAACCATGGCGGCCAAACAAAGTGGCACAACATTTTCAAGAACTGAAAGAAAAGAACTGTCAACTGCAAATTCTATATCCAGTGAAGCTATCCTTCAAGAATGAAGGAGAAATAAGCTAATTCTTAGACAAAAGAAAACTAAAAGACTTTGTTGCTGGTGTACCTACCCTTAAAGAATGGCTAAAGAGGCCGGGCGCGGTGGCTCACGCCTGTAATCCCAGCACTTTGGGAGGCCGAGGCGGGCGGATCACGAGGTCAGGAGATCGAGACCATTCTGGCTAACACGGTGAAACCCCGTCTCTACTAAAAATACAAAAAATTAGCCGGGCGTGGTAGCGGGCGCCTGTAGTCCCAGCTACTCGGGAGGCTGAGGCAGGAGAATGGCGTGAACCCGGGAGGCGGAGCTTGCAGTGAGCCGAGATCGCGCCACTGCACTCCAGCCTGGGCGACAGAGCGAGACTCCGTCTCAAAAAAAAAAAAAAAAAAAAAAAAAAAAAAAAAAAAAAAAAGAATGGCTAAAGAGAATTCTTCATCCAGAAAGAAAATGATAAAAGAAAGACTCTTGGAGCATCAGGACGGAAGGAGGAAGAATTTAAAGGGCAGAAATATTGGTACATACAATCGAATATGAATTTCCTCTTGAGTTTTAGAAATCATATTTAGGCCAGGCATGATGGCTCATGTCTGTAATCCCAGTACTTTAGGAAGCCAAGTTTGGGCAAATCACCTGAGCCCAGGAGTTTGAAACCAGCCTGGGCAACATGGCAAAACCCCATCTCTACAACAAATACAAAAATTAGCCAGGTGTGGTGGTGCATGCCTATAGTCTCAGCTACTAGGGAGGCTGAGGTGGGAGGATAGCTTGAGCCTGGGAGGTCGAGGCTGCAGTGAGCCATGAGCATGCCACTTCACTCCAGCCTGAGCGACAGAGAGAGACCCTGTCTCAAAAAAAAAAAAATCATATTTGATGATTGAAGCAAAAATATAACACCATCTTATATGCAAGACAATGAGATAATAATATTCAATAGTGGGAAAGTAAAGGGAACTAAGTGAATTGAACCTCAACTGAGGTAGAAATATGTAGAAATATGTTGATACCAATAGACTGTGATAAGTCACAAATGCATATTTTAGTAACCTGAGCAACCAGTATGAAAGCTATACAAAAAGATAACTAAAAAATGCTATCAATCAGTCAATCAAAGTGGAATCCTAAAAACAACGTGCAAGTAACTTACAGGAAGGCGAGAAAAGTTGACATGAAATTTAACATCTTTAGGTAATCCCATAATTTTGAGTTAAAAATGAATTATGGAAAAACTCAACACTAAGTGGCTTGAGACAATGTGTAAGGAAACAGTAAATTGGGAGCTAAGAAGCTTGGCTTTAGTAATAATTGATTTAATATAGATTAATAAATTCAATCCTGAGTAAAAACTTAGCGATATAATTTTGTCATTACTAATCTAATTGGAATAAAGGCATGTATTACTTTTTTTTTTTTGAGACAGAATCTCACTTGTGTTACCCAGGCTGGAGTGCAATGCTGTGATCTCAGCTCACTGCAACCTCCGCCTTCCAGGTTTCAGCAATTCTCCTGCCTCAGCCTCCCAAGTAGCGGGATTACAGATGCCCACCACCACACCCGGCTAATTTTTGTAATTTTAGTAGAGACAGGGTTTCACCATGTTGGCCAGGCCGGTCTTGAATTCCTGACCTCAGGTGATCTGCCTGCCTTGGCCTCCCAAAGTGCTGGTATTACAGGTGTGAGCCACCGTGCCTGGCCCAAGCATGTATTACTTTCTACAGCAAAGGAGGTAACTGAGCTTGAATTATTACATCTTAAGATTAAAGCTACAAGAATGTTTTTTTAAAAAATTAGCTTTAATTTTAGCATAATTTTAAATCTACAGAGAAATTGCAAAGATAGTACAGAGAGTTCCTGTATATCTTACACCCAGTGTCTCCTATTATTATAACATGACATTTTACATCATAATTAATGAATCAACATTAATATAGCATTACTAAGTAAACTCCATACTTTATTTCAATTTGATTAGCTTTTTCTTAAAGTTCTTATTTTTCCTTCAATAACTCATCCAGGATACCACATTTATAGGAGTCCTTTGAAAATGAATACTTAACTATCCTGGCTAACATGGTGAAACCCCATCTCTACTAAAAATACAAAAAATTAGCCGGGTGTGGTGGCGGGCACCTGTAGTCCCAGCTACTTGAGAGGCTGAGGCAGAAGAATGGTATGAATCCAGGAGGCGGAGGTTGCAGCGAGCCGAGATCGCACTACTGCACTCCAGCCTGGGCGACAGAGCGAGACTCCGTCTCAAAAAAAAAAAAAAAAAAAAAATAGAAAATGAATACTTAATGGCTAAACTTCATATCTTGGAAGAAATTTTATGTTCAGAGATGGAGCTATTATGTTACTACAGAGGGAATCTTGTGGGAAGGCTATTAGGGGACTTGTCTTGAAGCTGTTCTTTCCCGGCAAGCCCTCTGTTTATTATGAGTATTATGAGTGGTTTTTTGTAGTGTGGGTGCTGATGCCAAAGCTCCTCCAAGCCACTTTTTGGCATGGTCAGCATATTAACCCACAGTCATTAGTGCATGAACACGATCTTCCTCAGCCATAGTAAATTCACACTACTACCCCAGGCTTTGTGCAGTGGGAGGGACCTCTACAGAAGGAGAAGTTGTTGCATGGCTTGTTTTTCCATGCAACATGCACATCCTCTTATCATCGGGGTTTGCCTTCAAATGTGTCCAGAATCCAACTACTTTTCTGTACCTTCACTATTTCCATATGAGGTCCCCTACGAGCCGTTATCATTTTTTGTCTGAGCATAAACGGTTTCCTGACTAGTGTCCCTGATTCTGCCCTGGCAACTCCATAGTCTGTTCTCAACACAGTGACCTGAGAGACTCTTAAAATTTAAGTTGGCTCCTGTCACTTCTCGCTCGAAACCATCTAACAGCCCTCCCATCTCACACTTGTTTGTTGTTGTTCTCATACTTATTTTTTTAAACCAAAGTTTTTATTGCAAAGTAACATACGTACAGAAAGCGTACAGAGCCTCTGTGTAGCACTCATGAAATGATTAAAATTGACTACACCTGTATAACCACCACCCAGGTAAGGAAATAGACCAACTGTTGGGAAACCCCACGTGCTGTCATTCAATCAATACTCCCACTTGTCTCTCCAAAGGGAACCACTACGCTGTCTTCTAGATTAGGTAAGCCTGTTTTTGAATTTTGTGGAAATAGAATTACAGTATGTGTTGTTTCTTATCTGGCTTCTTTTCCTCACTGTTATGTTTGTGAGATTTTTCCATGTTGTGCCATCTCACGCTTTTTTAAAAGCCCAAATCTCCTCCAAGGTGTCTGGCGTCCAGAACTCTATAGCACCTTGGCCCCAATTCCCACCCTCCCTTGGCTTTCTGATCCAATTTCCTACTGTTATTCCCTCTCATGTCCTCTGTTCTAGCCTCATTGGCCTTCTTGTTCTTCTCAAACTCACCAGGCATGCCCCTGCCACAGGGCCTTTGCACTTACCATTTCTACTGCCTAGAGAGCTCTGTCTGAAGGTATCCCCATGGCTGGCTCCACAGACTCTGTCAGGTCTCTGCTCAAGTGCTGTCTTCTCTGTCAGGAGGTGATGCCTTACCTGACCATCCACACACTCCCTAGCCCCCTCCCCTGTTTGAATTTTCTCCGCAGCACTTACCACCCTACTATATATGTGTTAGTTTCCCATTGTTGTCAAAACAAAATATCACACATTTAGTGGCTTAAAACAACACAAGTTCATTGTCTCAGGGTCCCACAGATTGGAAGACCAGTAGGCTAGGCTCCCTTCTTCGTTCTGGGTCTCACCAGGCTGACATCAAGATGTCACCTGCCCTGGCTCTTATCTGGAGGCTCTAAGTAAGAATCTGCTTCTAGGCTTATTCAGGTTGTTGAAAGAATTCAGAATTAAGACGGGGGTTGCTATTTTCTTGCTGGCTTCCAGAGGTTGCCTGTATTCCCTGGCCTGTGGCCTCTTCCCCTTCAAAACCAGGGGCAAAAATCATGAGGGCCAACATCCTGCCTACCACAGTATACATTCCTAGTTATTTTGTTTACTATCCATTTCCCCATCTAGAATCTATGTGGACAGGGATTTCTGTTTGGTATCCCAAAACCTAGACCACTGCCTGGCACATAGGCATGGAAAGATGTGTTGAATGAATGAATGAAGACTGGGTAATTAGCCTTTCTCTTCTTTTTAAAAAGCTGTCAGTGACTTTCATTTTAACCTGATTTTACCACCAGTGTGCTTTTCCCTGGCTCCACATGCCACTGGTTACGGCTTTGCTAGTTAAGGGGATTACTAACAGGATAATGTCATATTTTTATGTTACCTCCTAGTGACACAGAGACACATCCTGGACAGGAGGTACAGAGTGGGGTCACAAAATGGACTGAAGCTCAGAGGCCAGCACAGGCCAGGGAGCCTCATGCACCCCAGTTAACTAAGTGTCCAATCATTTCTTGGAATAAAACTCTTCAGGGATAGTAAAACTAGTCATGGAAATGTGTTAAGCATTGTTTTGCTCAGAAAAAAAATTGAAGACTTAGTCTGCACATGTTAATTACTCAATGAAAATTTCACAAACGATTTAATCATCTGGATGTCTCGAAATATTCTGTTGCTTAATATTATGTAGACAGCCTAAATCCTAGGGTCATAGAGATCTGAGCTTGTGTGAAAAGCTTGAAACACGTACAAGTAACAGATTTGCTATTTGGGTTATGGTGTGGAAAAAAATCTCTGGAAACAGATTTATGTATTAGTTTTTCACTTTGCCACCAGATGTCCTTCATGAGTAGGAAAATATGATGACTTGAATGATATTTTGAAGTGTGAATGCCCAGCATTTTTGAGTAGACAGTGAAAGCGGAGTGTGACTGAATGTAAATGTTACCACAGACTTTTGGATGAGACAGGTCTTTTGAAGGCTGTCTTACAGGTGTAGCTTTCAGAAGCAATACTTATTTCACTTGCAAATTTTCATTTCTCATACTTTACAACCATTTATCTATTTTCTTTTCACTCAACTCTAAATCGATATTTTAAAAATTTGATCGAATTATTATACTTTGAAATTAACATTAAGAAGTACTCAGGTCCTTATGCTAATAGTAAAGATAAAAAGTTGGTCTTTGGAGTGGAACGTCTCAATAATTCAAGGAGGCTAGACCTCAGTCTTTTAAACATGACAGCTACACAGTTTACAAGATTTTTTTTTTTTTTTTTTGAGACAGGGTCTTGCTGTCACCCAGGCTGGAGTGCAGTGGTGTGATCTGGTGATCTGGGCTCACTGTAACCTCCACCTCCCTGGCTCAAGCGATCCTCCCACCTCAACCTCCTGAGGAGCTGGAACTACAGGCGTGCACCACCACACCCGGCTAATTTTTGTATTTTTTTTTTTTTTTTTTTTTTGTAGAAACAAGGTCTTACTAGGTTGCCCAGCCTGATCTCGAGCTCCTGGGCTCAAGTGATCTGCCTGCCTCAGCCTCTCAAAGTGTTGCTATTACATACCTGGCCAAGATATTTTTATTAAGTTAATTCTAAAAGCAGCAACTTACATCTTCAGGAAATGCAGTTGAAAGGGACCAATGTAAAATTTAATATAAAATCCAAGACTGAAGTTGCAGTTTATTGCTAATAAGGTAATATAGAATATGTGTTTAATATGTCAAATTAATAAACAGCATGTTTACAAAATAGAAGCTATTTGGTCAAGTGTGTTATAAATGTATAACAGAAACCCTCAGAATATATAAGGAACAAGGACAACTACAGGTTTAAAGGATTTGTTGCGTGAATTACATGGTGCCTTAATAAACACTTGGAGACAGAATTCCCGTCCTATTCCCACTATCACTGGAAGTATGGGATGAACCTGTGCTTTCTGGTGAGGGCTCCTCATTTCTTCATTAAGTGGGGCAGGGAGATGGGACAGGCAACGTATTGCCAGAAAACTGAAGGCCATCTGCATGAAATGTCAGCCAAGCAACCAGATGTTTGATTGGATTGGCTCCCACATCCGGCTTCTTGATCGAATTCCTCCTCTTTCCACCCAGATGTTTTAGAAACACAGAGAACTTCATGAAGCTTGTTCCGGGCCCGCAGAGGAAGGGGCGGTAATATTTTGGTGTCCTGCAGGGGGCGAAGTTACCTCTAATTTTATCAAGTCGGTTCATACATTCCAGCGGACTTCAAAGCCCAGATCTGCTCCTGTCCCTCCAACTCCACCCACCCCATGCCTCCTCCTCTTGAATCACATGTGGACGTTGTCTAGCTCCCTGTCCTGAGGCTTCCAGGGGAGCACTCGGGCTGTCTAATGGGGAAGGGTCCCAGAAGCAGGGAGTAGACAAGGTGGGGGTTAGGGGATTTTTATCCACCTAGAGGTCCAACTGGCTTGGAGAAAGAGTAGTCCCAATTTCAAGGTTATTAAAATCCTAGAACTGTATCTCTTCCTGTCCCCTTTGTCCCAATGGATACAAGGGCTTGCCTGCATGTGTCCCGCAAACATGATGTGCACATGTTGGGAGCCATAGTGGACAGAAGAGGAGCACATCCTCAGTTGGATGTCACTGTCCTTATGATCATTGTAATGTCTCACTGCACAGTTTTTTTAGGAGCTTCTTCTGGCTCTTAAGGGAGATGTGCGTTCTCATGTTCATCACCTGGAGGTACTCTCGACACCTCCTCATTCTAGCCCCATTCGACAGAAACTGAGAATCCATCTTGGTGGAGTGAGGAGCCTGCAACAGACCTGAATCAGAGTTGCTGCTCAGATGTTTAGTTGATAGTCACTTTAGACTCATGTCACATGAACCCATCTACTTCTTAGTGTCTAAGGAAAGGGAGAGATGGCGTGCGTGTGTGTGCATGTGTGTGTGTGTCTTCTGCACTAGGTCCACCCCATAGATGCATACACAAGTTGAGTATCCCTTATCCAAAGTGCTTGGGACCAGAAGTATTTCAAATTTCAGATTTTTAGATTTTGGAATATTTGCATATACATAATGAGATACCTTAGGGATGGGATCCAAGTCTAAACATGAAATTCATTTATGTTTCGTATATATCTCATATACATAGTCTGAAGGTAATTTAATACAATATTTCAAATGATTTTGTGGATGAAAATTTTGACTGTGTTTTGACCATGTCCCATCCTATGAGGTCAGGTGTGGAATTTTCCATCTGAGGCATCATGTCAGCTCTCAGAAATCTTTAGATTTTGGAGCATTTTGGATGTCAGATTTTTGGGTTAGGGATGCTCAACCTCTACAATAGGTGGGTCACCCCTCGATTTTGTGTTTTAAATGACATAGCCCCACCAAGGTGCCCTCATCCATGCTTGAAATGTTGAGTTTCCTGTGTCTTCCCCACTGCCCTCGTAGGTAGAAAGTCTTTTACTCTGCCTGCATCTCACCAGAAGTCTTATGAGGAAGGTGCAACTAGGTTTAAAAAAGGAGGCTCTTGGCAGGAAGCCTAGGTGTATTTGCTGGAATTTCAGATCTTCTGAGCAGAGCTCTTGGCTGCTGTGGGGCACTGCAGTGAATTTATGTCCCTAACATGTTCCCTACAGAAAAAAGAAGTGACAGGGCTCTTGAATTCTGAGGGTCCGGGCATCCCAGACAAAGTATCGTATTATCTTTTCGGATGGAAGAAATCCCTGTAGAGATGGTTAAAGACTGGCATTCACATAAGTTTTGTGCCCTGAAATTCATAGCTATCAGATATTTGTAGAAATAAAGACTCTTCTAAATGACCACTTGTGTCTGGGCCAAGGCAGAACTAGAAAGAAGGACTCAGTGGGTAGTTGGAGTCAGTGGTGGTCTCTATTTACCCATGAGAAATAGATTCTTGGAAATAGGATAGGAATGCTTATAAGATTTGGACCAACAGAAAGCCTATGATCTCATAAATTCATGAATCCCACAGTCTATAATCTATTTGACTTCACTCTCAAATGCCTAGGACCATTTGGACTAAGGCTGGCAAGTCAGAAAATTGCAGTTTTTATTTTCAACTCCACACAATTTTCACCAAGTAAAAAACCTTCATGTTTTACGTGAATTTGCTTCTACGATCCATAGATGACTGGATGTTCTCGGGCGGGGTAAAGGCAAATGAATTTGTGTCCTCATTGGCAAATGGTGTTGGTGGTGGTGTTATCTTGTCTAAAATCCACAGGAACCTGTGTTTCAGGACCCTGTCTATTGTCCTGACCATTCAGAATGCATGCCAAGCCCCTGCTCTTCCTGGAGTTATCTTTATCACCTCTCCTCAAGTTTTATCTTGCACCATATAAGTCACATTGTATTTCAATATTAAAATGCAACATTAATAGATAAGCTGGAGAATCAAGACATTTCCAAGAAGACAGGGGACGCCTTTTCTAATATATCGTCTGATTACACCCTCTTTCTTTTGGGTGCTAGCTTAAGAAGCCAAACCAAAGCACAAATGAACAGAGAAGTCAACACATCCGACCCCAAACCCTCAGGACGCTGGCTTGGGTTACATGTGGCCCTCTCTGTGGTCAGTTTGTGAGTAGCCTCCCCGGAGGGTGTGTCCCAACTTCCAGCAGCTGCCGTGGAAAGCCACGTGTCCGCTAAACGCCTACATTACATCAATAAGAGAAACTAAGGAAGGGATGGAAAAGCTATCATTTTTCTTTTCTTCCTCAGTTCTGGCAGTATAGTGATTTAATCGCTGTTATTATTTTTATTTAGTTAAAGCATCAACTTAGGCCTTTTAAATGATGGTAAAAGAGAAAGCTTCAGATCGGGGTATTGGTCAGATCATTCTTACTAGCGATGACCTCTTCGCCTTTGGCACCTCGCGGCTCTTCGCATGCCTCCAAGAATTCCCGGGTCTTGAAACCTACGCGCGGCGGAGGCGACGCCTCTCGGGAGAGGGAGGGTGAAAGAAGGGGCGGGGCTATTTAAATAGCCCGCGAGCTTCGCGTCCCCATTGGCTGCCAGCCTGTCGGTTACCGCGGGGCGGGGAGTCCCGGGGCTGGAGTGAGGTACCTGAGCCGGGCGCGCAGCAGAAAGCCCACGTTGGCCGCTGCGGGGAGCGCGGCGTGGAGAGGCGGGAGACCGAATTCCGGCGCCGCCGCCGCGGCCGCTGCTCGGTGCACTAGCCCCCTTCCTTCCCATCCTTTCTGCGAGCGGGTTTGCTGGGCAGCCGGGCGACCGCCGAACGGAAAGCAAGATCCTCGCCGCCTCCGCTTGAGGAGGCGTGCGGCGCGCGGAGATTTTGAGTGGGAGCGACGGTGCCCGAGAGCTCAGGGGCGCGGAGTTCGTGAGCGAGAAGGAAGTTAAACCTCGCGGAATAGACTGGCATTTCGGGACGCCTTGTCGCCGCAGCCTGGGCCCTGCAACGGGGTAAACTTCATGGTGGCCCTGCGATCTGGGGAGGGGCGTGCGCCACGGTGATGCCGGGCATCTCCCGCAGCTCGTGAGCGGCCCCGCTCCCCGCTGCCCCGGGTCCCACTCAGTCGCCAGGGAGAGCGCGGGGCAGCGCACGTGTGCGGCCAGCGAGGCCCAGAGTGACCGCGCCGCGACTCGCAGGAGCCAGGGCGCAGGCTGCAGTGCAGCCCGGACTCAGACGCACCTGGCCTGGACCGCGCGCCTCTAGAGACCTGCGCGAGGCTGTGAGGCTCCCCTTCCTCCCCTCCAAGCGGTTCTCCTGGTGATCGCCCCTTCGCCACCTCTCTAGCCTGGGCAACTGGGGGCGCCCCGGACGACCATGAGAGATAAGGACTGAGGGCCAGGAAGGGGAAGCGAGCCCGCCGAGAGGTGGCGGGGACTGCTCACGCCAAGGGCCACAGCGGCCGCGCTCCGGCCTCGCTCCGCCGCTCCACGCCTCGCGGGATCCGCGGGGGCAGCCCGGCCGGGCGGGGATGCCGGGGCTGGGGCGGAGGGCGCAGTGGCTGTGCTGGTGGTGGGGGCTGCTGTGCAGCTGCTGCGGGCCCCCGCCGCTGCGGCCGCCCTTGCCCGCTGCCGCGGCCGCCGCCGCCGGGGGGCAGCTGCTGGGGGACGGCGGGAGCCCCGGCCGCACGGAGCAGCCGCCGCCGTCGCCGCAGTCCTCCTCGGGCTTCCTGTACCGGCGGCTCAAGACGCAGGAGAAGCGGGAGATGCAGAAGGAGATCTTGTCGGTGCTGGGGCTCCCGCACCGGCCCCGGCCCCTGCACGGCCTCCAACAGCCGCAGCCCCCGGCGCTCCGGCAGCAGGAGGAGCAGCAGCAGCAGCAGCAGCTGCCTCGCGGAGAGCCCCCTCCCGGGCGACTGAAGTCCGCGCCCCTCTTCATGCTGGATCTGTACAACGCCCTGTCCGCCGACAACGACGAGGACGGGGCGTCGGAGGGGGAGAGGCAGCAGTCCTGGCCCCACGAAGCAGCCAGCTCGTCCCAGCGTCGGCAGCCGCCCCCGGGCGCCGCGCACCCGCTCAACCGCAAGAGCCTTCTGGCCCCCGGATCTGGCAGCGGCGGCGCGTCCCCACTGACCAGCGCGCAGGACAGCGCCTTCCTCAACGACGCGGACATGGTCATGAGCTTTGTGAACCTGGGTAAGGATTTGGGGTAACGTAATGACGAGAACATTTCCCCCTTTTCAGTGTCCCGGGCCCAGGGGATGGAGTGAGGGGGTGGAGGAGCTCCCGGCGCGCGGGTCCCGCCTGGTGCGCCAGAGAACGCGGGGACAGGCAGGCTGTGCTCCCGCCACCTGCGCGGCGGTGGGCGGCACATGCGCTCCCCCGCGCCGCGGGCAGGGCTGCGCGCCGAGGCCCCCAGAGGCGGCTGGCCGGCCGGGCCGCGGGGCTCCGGGAGCGCTGTCCCCAGCGGGCGTGTATTTGCGGACTCCCTGAGCACGTTCCGCGCTTTTTTTCACTTCTGCCCAGCTCTGGCCAGGTTAACTCAACTGCAGCAGGAGAGTCCAGCCCGAGTGTGGCCATCCTGGGAAGAGGGCTCTTCAGTACGATTTTCCCCTCTAAACTGCCGCCTTTTGCCCCCTAACTTGGAGTGCAGTTTTCCCACCGAGACTTTTAGGGAATCCGACAGCGGCTGGGAACTTTGAAAACTTGGCATGAGTATGTTTAGAGGTATCCACGGCACTAGGGGAGGTTGCAGAGGGAAGTCCCAAAAGGACCGCGGAAGGCGCTCGGATCCCGGCCGGGCGGGGCTCGCTTCTGTTTGGGGCGGGATGAAAGCTCAACTGGGGTAATCCATCCTGTGCCCCGGCTCACATGCCCTTGGCCATTGTCCCCAAAGGCTGAACCTTTGATCAATGCAGCCCAAGCTGCACGGGCAGAGAAAGGGTGCGGGGTAGGGGCCGGGGTTGGGCGCTGAGCTCCTCTGAACCGGTTGCCAGGCAACAGAATGGAAATTCACGGGCGGCTAAATGGAGCTCCGCCACAAATGTTCTGTGGCAAACCCGGACCCAGTCACATCGCCCTTTCTCCCCCCTCCCACCCCACTGAGTTTTCTCATCTGTAAATGAGAAGGGTGCAGAGAAGACTCTTTTCTTCGGAGTCAGTGCCTCCGGTTTGCACTGCTTTTCATTCATAAGCTGACTTAGTTTAGCGCAGACATAGGATGGAGGGACGCGCTGTCAGCGGACAGATCATGGGTGCACTGGCTACGCCCGGGATGGTTGCAGCTGCGCGGCGGGGTGGGGCTTCACGGGCCTCCTTCCCATGTGAGACGGTGGTTGTGCCCAGGCCCTGAAGTGGGTGAGCAGACACTCGCCAAAGGAGCACACGGGTCTCCCAGCCACGTCAAAGACGCTCATCTTTTAACGGCATTACTTACTGGAATGATTCCCGCGTAGACTATCTGGGTGATTTCTTTACCAGCCTATCTATGATTCCCAACTCCACTGAGCTTTGAGGGAGAGAACATGGGGGGTAAGAGCCAAGGGAGGGTGTGGAGGCAGGGCGATTGGCATCCAAGTGGTGCAGAAATCCTCCTGGGAAATTCGTGAAACAGAATCTCACAGGAGTCCAGGCTCAGGGCCTGCCAATCTGGCTGCTTGCACTGCCCGGGGTTCTGATTGGACAAGAATTTTCACAATTTATTGGAACCAAATCCAAGGTTGAGCCACCTCCAGGAAGCATTCTAAGGAAATTCTCATGCCAGTCAATAAAATTTGTAGTGGGTGGGGGCCAGGGTGGCAGAGGACCAGCGCTGTTCCTTATTCTAACTTTTCTGCTGCTTCTGACTTAGTAAATTCCTCCCCTTGCTCTCTTCCTCTCCTCTCCTTCCACCCTCACCCCCCGCCCCCACCCCGCCTCCAGGTTTCCTGGCAGCTCTGGGGAAATGTTTTATTGCCTCTTGGGGGTAGTCCTAACCTGGACAAAGGGGAGGAAGACTGGCGCTCCTGGCTACTTCACAGAGAATCGTGTTACAGTCCCTGGGAAAACAATTCCTGGGCTTGAACCGAGGTTCTCAGCATTAGCTGCCCTGTAGTATCACCCGGGGGACTTAGAGTTCTAGGGTTATTAGGGCCGCTTCGTGGGCCCAGATCAGTTAGGTCAGAATCTTTTGAGGGTGGGGCACAGGCATCATTTTTTTTAAGTACCTTAGGTTTTTCTAATATGCTACCGTGGTCAGGAAACACTGGCACAGGAGATCCCAATGTCTGAAGGAAATGGATACATTGTCCCAGTAAGAGATGAAGAGCAAAGCTTTCAAACATTGCTACACATTAGAATCACGTGGGTGTTACGTGGGAGGTAGGGGGGAACGCCTTAAAAAAACCCAGATGCCCAGGTGGCACTCCATATCAAATCAGAATGTGTGGAGGTGGAAACCAGGTAGCAGTATTTTTTTGTTCAAAAATAAAGAGGATCTCCCAACGTTGCCCAGGCTGGACTCAAAACTCCTGGCCTCAAGCAATCCCCCTGCCTCAGCCTCCTGAGTTGCTGGGAAGATAGAAGTGTGCCACCATGCCCAGCAGTGTCATTGTTTTGTCAAGATCTCAGGTGATGTCAGTGTTTGGAAACCACTGCCTTAGATGGTATTTGAAATTTCAAGAGCTGGGCCTAAGGCGAATTTGTAAAGTATAGTCATATTTACTGTATTTAGTGACCCTCCAAATTCCCCTTATTCCTTGCTTCTCTGACTTTTCGTGGGCTACAGGGACACACTGCCTCTGAGTCACACTGCTTAAAGCTGGCTGTCAGCTAATCCTTGCTAGGGTGATGGTTTAACATAGTATCTCCCTAGGGATATTGACATTTTTCGTAAAGGATTTTGAAAGATCTAAAAAAATCCCCTAAAAATTTTTAAGAGAACTCACCCAGTAGTGCAATTCCAGGCCCCAAGACAGGCTGACACAGAACTGAAAGAGAATTCTAGGATGGGAATTCTATCCCAAGCCCCTCATATTCCTATCACTGGGCTCCTTGTACAAGTTATAGCTACTGTAGGTCCACTTCTGGACTCTATACTGATAGTGTGAAGAGAAAACCTTTTGCGGGTAAGTAGAATCCAAGCAGCAAGCCATGCCACCTGCCAATGAAGCAATTCTATTTCATCTTAATCCATGTAGCAATAGGAAAGGGGTATTTCATCATCAGAGGCTAGAATGGGGTAAAATCTGATTGCCATGACTCTGAACATAGGAAGGACAGTTCATTTGAACAAAGTTATTGCGTACCAATGTTGGATTCTCTATATAGGGATACTAGAGAATTACAGATTTCCTAATTGCTGTCAATGCCATGTTAACTGCCACATTACCTGACTCATCTATTAAAGAATCTACAGAAAGATAAACATGACAGCGCTGCGTTTTAAAGTACGCTTATACCTACTAGGTTAAGTAAATTACACACTGGAAGTACAAGGGAAAGTATTACATAGTTGTAAACATCCGACTTCCCTGGGACTGGGGGAATAATTTACTCATGAAATACATTTGAAACACCCCGAGCCTTGTAAGCCAGCCGGACTATCAGGAAGTGTGAATCAACAGGATAAATTTCTCTCTCATAGCGCAAGTGCTGGTCATCCAACCAGCTCATTGTTGTTTATGTTGACTGTTTCAAACTCTTTCTGGGTGAATAGGCTGGGATGTGTCACCTTCTAAATGCTAACCGTCTGCTGCCTGGGCTGCTGGTGTGCAGAGTGCCTGGGTGAGCGAGCTCGTGAACTTGCATTCACTCAGGGCCACAGATGCCATTTTCTATTTGTTTTCTAATGCTAAAAATGTCTTGGCAGCCTAGTCAGCATCCCTGCCAATTTGGTGACCTTGGAGAGGTATCCTTCAGGTCTTAGCTTAAAATTCACCTAAGAGAGACCTTCTCTGCCACTCTATATAAACTGGTCATGCCTCCATCCCACCCACTTCTGTACCATGACAGCACTCTGCTTATTTCCTTCCTTGTACTTATCACAAGTTTTTCTTTTTTCTTGTTAAATTTGCTTACTCATTTGTTTGTCTCCCCTGTAGGATGTCAGCCTCCAAAGGCGGAAACCACGCTAACCCACCACAGTAGCCCAAGTGCCTAACATAATGCTGACCACATGGAAGATGCTTTGAAAAGGCTGAATTAGTGAACATATAGACATAGCCCATGCTTCAAATTCATATTTCACTGATTTGGAAGATTTGATTATTTAGAAAGGGTATACCTGATTTTTATTGAGTAAAATGTTTACAGTGAAGACATTTAGGACAGGGAGGTTCACAGTATTTGAGGTAAATCATCGTGCTTTATTAATACACCTTTTTTATTAGTCACCCATATGTATATTAATTTGTAATATGCATTACATTTGAGAGTAGTAAAAACATTTAATTAAATATCTGCATTTCAGATTTCACTTGTTTATTTGAATTCACGAGGTATTTATCTCCAAATGCTAGGATTAAATGGCAATTTAAAAAACTCAAATTGTGTTCAGAAAAGGGAATCAGTATATATTAGTACAAGCAGCAAGAAACTTGTGCTAAAAATACTGGCAATTTTCTGAACAAAATTACTCTTGGGAAACATAAATAAGAAGAAAAATGGAATACTCCCTACTTGTATTTGTAACTAGATATAATGCGCTATCTCTTTCTCCTAAACATAGCATCAGTAGTACTGTTTTTCATTTAAGCTACCTGTACTTAAGAAGATTTTTGTTAGCAGAAAATAAATCCATGCCTGCAAGCTACTCACAGCAAAAACAGTTTGGAGAATTTGGTTGCAAGAGTGTGATTCAAAGAAGCAGTAGATGTTCTTCTAAAGAGATTACAAAGAGTAAATTTGAAATTCAGTGGCATTTCAACAAAAAAAAGTTGTACAAAGTGTTCTTAAACTAAGATCAAAGGGCAAGCAGATACTATTGTTCAGACCTCAGATGGTGTTTCCTCTGGGTGTCCTTCTAAGAATGGGTATAAATCCTTTTTAAATGTGCTGAATCATGGTTAGTTCCTCTATTTGAGAGCTTACCTCTGATCAGCTTGGAGGAGGGCTTCCCTGGGATAAGAATCTGTTTAAATACAAAAACAATGCTCAGTGCTTGCTTTAGCATATAATTTGTTGCCTCTCTGTGTCTTCAGAGAGTAACTACTTTATATGTTGGATTTCAAATTGATATTTTACTTGACTATGAATACTGGCTAAATACTGGCTATCAAATGTAGTATATCAAACGTAGTATATCAAACGTAGCAAACTAAAAGATAGCAGCTCTGCTGTCTTTGCCTCACTCCTATTTACGAAGGTGAGTTAGACAAGGAAAATGAAGAGGGTACAATGTCTTGCATCATGAAGCAGCTTTCTGTAACTTTTTCACAAACCAATCCTTCACTTTCTGCTTCCCATCTTATATCAAAAATGAACTATTCTAGGGAATGATTTTTTTTTTTTTTTAAGACAGTATCTTTTTCTGTCACCCAGGCTGGAGTGCAGTGGCGAGATCTCGGCTCACTGCAACCTCTCCGTCTCCTGGGTTCAATCAATTCTCCTGTGTCAGCCTCCAGAGTAGCTGGGATTACAGGTCTCCGCCACCACACCTGGCTAATATTTTTTTTTTGTATTTTTAGTGGAGCTGGGGTTTCACCATGTTGGCCAGGCTAGTCTCAAACTCCTGACATCAAGTGATCTGCCTGCCTTGGCCACCCAAAGTGCTGGGATTACAGGCTCACGCCACTGCGTCCGGCCAGGAATGACTATTGTTTAACTTAGCACAACGTCGTTACAGTTTTAATTTTTCTACTTCGATCTTTATTCTATTTTTCTTCCTCTTCTGTTCAGAATTTTAGTCATTTTGCCATCTTTGGTGCTTCCAGTAGTGGGAAGAAAAGTAGACAATATTTTAATTAGACAATTTTGTTTTTCACTAGTTTTCATAAATATATGAGTAAAAGGAGTAGAAATCACCGCAGAAACTCCCTAAGATAGGAATAGACAATTTACCAAGGCCCCATTCACGTAAACAGCTGTTACACATTAACCATCCTGTCCCCCCCTCCCTAGGCCACAGCATAACCCAGCCATGTGCCCAGCAGCTGGGCTGCTCCAGCCGCAGGGTGTCACCTGGGGGGCAGATATAGGGCATAGCTGGCATCTTCTCTTGTGTTCCCCGCAAGGAACCAGTGCATTATGTTGTTCTTATTTCCCTGTTTTCATCACGACAGCGGAGTTAACTTTATTCAAATACACTTTCTTTTCTGATCATACCCTTACCTTCTCTTCAACACCCTCACTCCCATCTCTGATCCAGCTTTTACCCACTGGAAACGTGTGAGTCGGAAAACGGCACTAGTCTCTCCTGGAATATATGAAAGTGGTGATAGTTGTATGAAGGGGAAGGAAAGCCATCACCACTTCGGTGAAAATTAGAGTTAACTCTAATTTTTCAGTGCCATTAACCTCTGAAGTTTCGAGAGTACCAGAAATTCTCAGAACCTGCATTCCCCCTGTTCACCTTTTACTACAAGCATTAGAAATCAGTAACACATTGTGGGTCACTGAAATTTATCAGATTTTGTGTTCAGTCACTAGTGTTTTGAAGATTTTGTTGTCTATACTTTTTTTCCAATGTGAATATGTAGTATTTCAGCACCCTATGCATAAAGTTAAGGGTCTGAAGCCAGGCTGGGAACACAGCTACCATCCCTAACATGGTTTTTCTGGGGACACGTATGCCCCAGCAACAGAAAACCCATTTGGGGTTTATTGGTTAAATGAGTTTGGGATAACTGGTGAATGTATGTTCGCCATAGATCATAGAATTTAGAGCTTGAAAAGTTCTCGCATATCATCTAATCTGTTTGTTCGCAGTTAAATTTGTTAGATGTTTTCACCACCATTTTCTCTTTACTGCTGTTACCTCTTAAGATTGAGGGACAATCCATGAAAACACACAGAGATCCTAGTGCATCAGAGCAATAGGGCTGTTGGCCAGGCTGGAGTGGATAATGAAGGAGAAATTACAAAAGCAGGCAAGAGCACAACCCTGGAAGAGCCGAGGAAACCCAAATCTGGAATTGTTGGGGTTTTCTCTTAGTGGATAGCATCTTCTCCAAGAACTCTACTTTTAGAAAAGAAAATGCTATGTATATCTATAAATGTCCAAAGGACTGTTGACTCCAAAGAATTGTTTTCTGCTCCGAAATTGAGTTGAAAACCACGTTGCTCTGAGTGGCATTGTTCCACTGATATCCACTGATTCTCTTCCTGCCCTTCCCATCTCCATTATTAAGGAGATTGGGACCATAATAGAGATGATATCTAAATTACATCAGTTAATTCCTTGATGGGTCCCCACGGTCTCGTTATCTCAAGCACAGTCCCAGATGACTGGGTCGAAGAATCTCCTTCAAACATTTTTGCAGGATGAGGTTCTGGTTCCAAGTGGGAGAGCCTTCCTGACTTTCAGATTTATAGGCATACGCCCTTGATGACTGATCCTCCTGCTGGCCAGGTCAGGATTGTCCTAGGCCTAAAATGTCCTTGCCACACAGTGCCGATTATATGTTCAGATTGTTTTCATATCACCAAAGAGCTCAGCTGGCCACGGGGGGAAGTGGAGTGGAGTGGATTCACAGGGCGCAGAAAACAGTGCCCCTCGGAGGCAGAGCCCCGGAGCCCGCTCCACCCTGACCTCCGATATCCGCCACGGGCCTTATTATCACTCTCCTGCCGCTTGCCCTTTCACCGTCCAGAACGTCTGCGTTTGTTGATTGTTGTTGCTGTGTTTACAGTCCTGTTGGTTTCCTGTACGTGAACATGGGCTGGAAAAAAAATTCTGATTTGTGTCTCAGCAGAGCATGAGTGAACCATATCATTGGTAAGAGCTGATTAGGCCAGGAGATTTCTTATAATATTAGCCTTGCTTATTCTCTGAGACCAGTTATTTTCCCTCCCTCCTTTTGAATCTATGAATTACATTTAAATAGTCCAAAGACTGAGTTTTGTAAACTACAAAATTAAGGACTAAAAGTTTTTACTTAATTTTGATTTTTATTCAGATTTTATTTGTAGACTCCCATATCGGAATAAGTTAACAACGGAGAAGCTGTACATTTTTTAGAAAGAGAGGGTTTTTTTTTAAGATCAGTTTGAGGTTCACAGCAAAACTGAGCAAAATTTTGCAGAGATTTCCCAGGTACCCCCTGCCCCACAGGTGCACAGACTCCTCCATTATCACCCAGCAGAATTTGGTATCTTTGTTGCAATTGATGAACTTATATGGACACATCATTGTCACCTAAAGTCTGTAGTTACATCCCGGTTCACTCGTAGTGTTGCAGATTCTGTGGATTTGGACAAATGTGTAATGATGTTATCCACCGCTATAGTATCATGCCGAGGAGTTGTGAAACTACTCTGCCCTACAAATCCTCTGTGGAGAAGCTGTACATTAAACAAGGAAAAACAAGTCAATGAAAGTATAAAAATTCAAAATACGCAGAGTTCGGGGAAAGAATTATAAAATACCTCAGTTGAAGAATATTTTGTTTCTGGGGTTTTACTAAAGTGGTCCCTAAGGAAGTAATTTTGATAGTCTATGACAATGTGGGATTTATTTTATAGTGCTTCTATGTGTTGACAACAAATCCATCAGAAATCTTTCTTTTTTCTTTCTTTGTTTTTAAGTCTAGGAGTTTAAAAATCTTTTTTCCTCCGCATAGTTTGACTGAGGTGTCTGTCACCATAGTACCTAGACAATCCCTCAGGCAGAGATATGAGTGATTAAATTTCTCCCTGGCTTGTGCCCTGTTTGATCCATGCTAGGCAGGATTTGGGGGAGTAAAATAAAGAAGCCTGAAGAATGAACAAGAATTATAGGAATTTTGTGCTTGTGAATTATTAAAATTTGGGGGGGTTATTAGGGGAGAGGTTAAATATTTTTCCTTTCTGAAAACTTACATTAAAACTTAATGTGACTTTAGAATTGAGAAACTGACAAAATATCGTACTGGCCCTAAGGGCAGGATCAGAGGACTTTAAAAGGCTTCCTCAGGAGAGACTATTTAGATCAGAGTAAAACTAAATTAACAGAGACTCCATCAATTCAGAGGTCTTTGTAAGTGATATATCGAATAGGCTTATTTGCCTTTGGACTGTTTTCTATGACAAAGCTACACAGGTTAATGGTAAATAAATATGAGAATACAATAATGGAGACAGAAATGTGGTAACTGAAGAGCAGTTCGTTTGAGGGATATTAGGGGTTTGTGTTTATTCCTTTACAAATATTGTGCAGGTGAGACATTTAGTGAATTCTCTCCATCTCTCTTCACGTCAGTTACTCATTGTAGTGGGGTATTACTGAATTCCAGCTAATTTGCCCGCCCGTTATCTCCCACCCTATTCTGCTCCCTTACAGAGGAAACCTCTTAAAAATGGGGAAGAGGGCCGGGCGCAGTGGCTCACACCTGTAATCCCAGCACTTTGGGAGGCCGAGGACGGTGGATCACTTGAGGTCAGGAGTTCAAGACCGGCCTGGCCAACATGGCAAAACCCTGTCTCTACTAAAAATACAAAAACTAGCCAGGCGTGGGAGCACACCTGTAATCCCAGCTACTTGGGAGGCTGAAGCAGGAGAATCGCTTGAACCCGGGAGGCAGAGATTTCAGTGAGCCAGGACTGCACCACTGCACTCCAGCCGGAGTGACAAAGCGAGACTCCATCTCAAAAAAAAAAAAGAGCTTGGGGCCATGGCACTGTCACTGGGCTTGAGAAATTCAGCCTTGTCTCATAACATCTGACTTAGGATGTCCTGTGGTTTAATACTTCTCTGTGGGAGGATAGGTGTTTAATGGAGCAAAAAGAGAAGTGATATCCATGGGCAGGACTAAGGTGTATGAAGGGAAGAGTAAGAAAGCCATAGGTGCCTGGAGCCAAAGATATCTGGAGAGTTGCCTTTCCCCCCATGGAGAAAGGCCATGCATGGAGCAGGCCTTTGCATTTTTATGGGGTCTGTTTAGGGCAGAGCCTTCTAACACCAACTCTTGATTTGTTGAGATTGTTTGACCCTGTTGTTATGCATGCACATACCTGTCATCGTAGGATGATCCCACGTAGCTGCAGGGGTGAAGGAGGTATCCAGTGGATGTTAGAGTCCCTTTCTGTCTTGCTTTCCCTTTTTTTTTTTCTCTTCTTTTCCTCCCATTAATAAAATTGGCAACTCCATTGCACTTATTTCCACTTTCGTATGTGCTCTTACCTATAGTTTTGGAGCCTTTGCTATGGATCTAGCAGAGCAGATTATACACGTCCATGGAGTCTGGGAGTTTTCTACCACAGAAATGACTCATTTTCACCCACTGCAATGGTTAAGTAGCTGGTTTTCTTGACAGTGCTGGAAGATGCTTATGATCGGTTTATTATAGAGGAAAGAGAACTGGATTAATATCCAGGAGGCTTGAATTTGGGCTCTAGTTCTTAGTATTATTCTTTTTTGTAATATTTTCTTCTTTTTTTTTTCTTCTTTTTTGTAATATCTTGTTCAAGCCACTTAACCAAATTTCTAGGTCTCCTTCCTTGTCTGGAAACTGTATTGGCTAGATCAGCATTTTTCAAAAAGTTACTACTTTTCCAAAATGTTCTGCAAGAAAAGGCCGTAGAAGCACTTTCTATTCTATTCCTCTCTTTGAGGTTTACAAATCTTTCTCCTGTTAATGCCCTGACAAGGCCAGAAGTAAAGAAGCCTGCTAACTTGGTTCAGCAGAGTTTGAACTGACTTTTACTCTCTAACCCCTTTTGGCTGAAACCCCCTTGTGTCAGACCCAGGCCTCTCTGCCCCCACACCCACTCCTGAACCTTCTCCTGTTGTCCTCATAGATCAGGGGAGGGACCCTAGGAGGCTGCGTTTCCAGCTGCTCTGCTCTTCTGTGGCTCCAGCTCTCTCTGGTCCCCATCTTATGCTAGGGACCCCTTGGCTCTCCTCCCTCCTTCATAAGAGGGAACGTGGCTTCCTGCAGTTGCCAATCCATGGGCTGCCTCACCACGACCTGCTTGGCCGTGTAGCCCTCCCGCTTCTGTGCCACCAGATCCCTGCATTAAATCCCCTCTGTTGTAAACTCTTGCAGAAGGTTCTCTGTTCCAGGTTGGACCCTCATTGCTAAAGGCTCTTAATTCCCTGGAACACAGTTGAGAAACCCCAGGCTAGATAATTCCCAAGACGATTCTTTTTAAATTTTTTGGTAATGCAGCTTAATTTGACACATTGACGTATAAGGAACAGCTTAAAGTGTACAGTTCGATAAACTTAGACATAGGTAGGCATGGCTGCAACCATCATGGCAGGGAAGATGGTGAACACATTCTGAGCTACACTTTAAAGCATCTCCTGTGCTAGGGAATGAAATCATCACTCCCAACACACAGGAAGTGCTGTGCAAAGTCCCATCTTTCATCGACACCTTGGCTCTTCTTGCTTTTCTCTTACGGGCTTTGTACATCCTTAAGAATGGAATTTGCTGAAGATCCTCATGGCTTGTTTTCTTGGATCAGAGAACCATGGGGTCAAATCTTCATAGGGTCAAGCCTGCTCTTGGCAACTGTGATTGACCTTTACCCTATGTCTCACTTTCCACATTGATTTTGGGAAATAATAATAAAAATAGGCAGACTTCTTTTCTAATTTTGGAAGCAAGTGTCTGGGGGTAGTTTTGCGTTGTGGTGACCCTGTCAGCATTTTGTTTCTAAAGACTGTAATTTAGAAGATTTGATCCTGCCGGAACACAGCACAAAGATGCTTCCCTGTGTTTCTGTTTTAAATTTGGGCAATTTGGGTAGGGCACAAATCCAAGAACTCTAGGAAAGTAGACTCCAATTTACCCCTGACATTTTCCCTATGCTCATCCTTCTCCAAATATTCTGGAAGCTTAAATAGAAACTGCATTTTTTTCTGCACAAAAATACAAGTACTGTATTTCTTTATGGCCTTTTGCCTTAAAGAATGGCTGATGTCACTTATTATCCTATTATCTCAGCAAGGCAAATACTTACACTTTTACAGCTGCAGATACATAAAAGTTCTTACTTTTACAGTAAGAACTAGTAGATAGTAAGATAGGGGAGAATTTGGAGGTTTTTGGAGAAAACTAATATTTAGAGCAATGTTAACTGAATGTTCCAAATAGCACCCAGTCATGTAATAGAACAGTTTTGTGAAATAACTGTCCCCTACCTGCCCACCATTTGGGGAGGTTACTCTTTCCTTCCCACTGTCTTCTCTGCCCTTGTGGTCTGACTTCCATCCCCATCCATCTGCTGAAAGTGTTTCGTTGAAGGCAGCTAATGACTGTCCTGAGTCTTCATCCTCCTTTCCAAAAGCCTTGATCATGTTGACGATGCTTTTTTCCCTACTGGGCTATTTTTTAGCGCTTCTAAAAAATCCTCTCCTTAGTTTCTACAACACTGCCTGCTCACTCTTGGTTCCTTTCCTGTCTTGAAGACTGCTGCTGTATTTGGGGATATTTTCTGAAATACAACAAAAGATTCAGAAGGGTTGGCCTGTGGCATGAGACCTGCACACTGGGCTGAGACAGGACACAGGCAGGGAGCTGGGCATAGGGAGGAGGTCACACCCAGTTGCAGGAGTAAAGAGAGAACATGTGGCCATAGGTCAGGATGATGGGCAGGTACCAGGCTCCCAGGTGACCTGCCACCAAGGCTCGGTGGCCTGGTGGTAGCTGTTGGGTTCAGAAAGTCAGATGCATCTGCAGAGATGTCCCCCAGCTGTGAGTGCCTCCTCACGTGTTTGCCTTCTCTCTTATGACCCATCTGTTCAGAGCATGCGCCAAGTGTGGTCCCATCCCAGACTCATGCAGCACAGCTTTTCTCAAACTTTGTGCAACAACCACTTGTTTTTCAAATTTTTTAGTTTTTGTGGACCCATACTTTTGGGTCCACGAAAATTCATTACAAGTGCATTCGTAGAAAAATGACATGGAAAAAAACCCAAAATATGTTCAAAATCAAGCCTCAACTTTTAATCATTAGATTCCATTTGTAGAAAGTTGTCAGTCAGCTTGCTGTTAAACCATCTAAACACTCCATTTCTGTACTCTCATTGCAAGCTGGTAACAAAGTTTGTGGATCAGCACAGATCTATTAACAAGCAGCTTCTTGGACCCCACCCTGACTCGGGGGATTTGGGTGTGGGAATCTGCACTTCGACAAGCGGTGACTGAGGTTTGGGAACCACAGTGCTAGTTACTCAGGCTTAACTTCAATCTTTGCCCTCTCGCCCACATCAAGTCAGTTGCCAGGCTTAGTGATCCTGCTTTTGAAATCTCTTACTCCCATCTTCCCATCATCTTTTCCATCTATCCCTAAGTTCCCTGCAGAAGGTCTTTATAATCGTTGGCCTTGACTTTTGCACTGGTCTCTCTGCTGTGAATCCCTCCCTGCATCCCTGACAGGCTGGCTTTTCTGTGGTGCAGGTGTGATCTGTTAGTCCTCCTCCATCACCTTCATTGGCTCCTGTGGCCACTAGATTAAGCTGATGTCTCTGAGGTCCACCCTGTCCATCTCTTCTACTCATCTTTCCATATGCTGTTATCCAGCCAGCACACTCTGCTCTGTGATTTTGCCTATTTACCTGGTGAAACTGCCCACTGCCACATTCTCAATTCTGTTTTTTAAACCCCAGTTCAAATGCCATCTCGTTAAGAAAGGCTTTCTGAAATTTGCTTACCCATGTGCCATGGCTCTTTAGAAGAACATTTGGGGCCAAATGACAGGGGACTTGTCCTATGCAGAGAGGCATGGAGCAGCATTCTTTATTATCATTATTATTATTATTATTTTTGTAGAGACAGGGCCTCTCTGTCACCCAGGCTGGAATGCAGTGGTGCGATTATAGGTCACTGCAACCTTGAACTCCTGGGCTCAAGTGATCCTCCCACCTCAGCCTCTTGAGTAGCTGGACTACTAGGCGTGTACCACCATGCCTGGCTAGTTGTTTTAATTTTTTGTAGAGATGGGGTCTCATTATGTTGCCCAGACTAGTCTCAAACTCCTGGGCTCAAGTGATCCTCCCACCTCAGCCTCTTGAGTAGCTGGACTACTAGGCGTGTACCACCATGCCTGGCTAGTTGTTTTAATTTTTTGTAGAGATGGGGTCTCATTATGTTGCCCAGACTAGTCTCAAACTCCTGGGCTCAAGCGATCCTCCTGCTTTGGCCTCCAAAAGTGCTGGGCTTACAGGCATGAGCCACCAGACCCAGCCTAGAGCAGCATTCTAATTTCTGATGCCTGTTTGCAGCTGAGCTGCATGAGGCTTCAACGAAGGAGTTGGAGGTCTGAAGTTCCAGCGTTGGCTCTGCTACCCCTCAGCTGTGGGATTTGGTGAATCACCTTCAACACTGACTTCTCTGATTCCTATCCTATTAAAATGTTTTATTCATCTTTGACACATCCCTCCTCCCCCCAAGTGCCTAGCATGGTGCCTTTCCTTCATCGATACCCAATAAGTGCACATTGAATAAATGTCAGTTTCTCAAAAATAAAACTGGTGTATGCCGTCTCCTTCCATTCTCTCATTACAAATAACATCAAGCATTTGAACGAGAGAATTACAAACTGTGAAGCATGTGTGCTATTATAAGAAATGCTTATTAAGTTCTGTATGTGGCAGTGGTTATAAAAAGGGAAAAGAGAAGTTACCTTCTTGCAGGGTTTATGTTCTGTGACTTTCTAAATTTTTTTAAAGGCTTTGGGAAGAAGAAATATTATTTTCCTTCTATCTGATGTCATTATGACTTTAATAAGTATGAATACAAGTCAGAAAGACATGCCGCTGAGTCTCAATTTAAATTTCCTGGTTGTGCCAGGCAGAAAGCTTCGAGCTTTCATGCATGCAAGGAGGCACGACTCTTCACGCAGGTGCCGTTGCAGAATACTTATCTTGTCAGCTTCCACTTCAGGCTGGTAGGCTTGGCATACATTGTGAAGGTGTTAGACATTCTGTTTACATAAGGACTGAGGGGTGACATAATGTCTATTGAAGCAAAGTCACTTAGCTCCCCGCTAGGCAACAGGGAGCATTTAAAAACTGAAAACTGATCAAAGCCATGGGCAGGATTGAGATACCTTTACCCAGGGGGCGGGTGGTCTCTTGGTTCGTTGCCCGAAACAGATGTGCATTATTGCTTCACTGTATTTCCAGACCATTGGTGAAATGAATCAGGCAGAATTAAACCCTGAGTGGCCAATCCGGAGAGCCTGCTTAAGTGGGCACAAGTGTGTCCAAATAGGTTGGAAAAAATGTCAAATCAGAGTAGGCGCATACAAGATGTGATGTTTCTCTTTTTATAGACTGCTATAAAAGTTGTTTAAAATTAAACAACCCTTCAGTACTTAAATTATGTATAATGAGACAGGTAGGTCCTGGAACAGAGATCTTTCCCCCCCTTCTTATCCCACTTAAATTTTGCACTCCCTACCAGAGTATGTGAGATATAAACACTTTCATTTCCAGGATATAGTGTAGTCTTAGGATGGAGCAAAGGGAGAGAGAGAGATGGCTTGACATAGACCACAGAAGTAGCAAATATCTTTCACATTTTATTCCATGAACTTCAAGGATGTAGCCAAGGGAAAAATGAAAATAATTTCAGATGCATCTGTCCTATCAAGTGGTAATCTTCTGTATTTTACACTTCCAAAATATATGTAGATATAGAGGAAGGTGTATTCTATAGTGTATACTCCCTCTACCCCCCTCCCAAATAAGTAGTTTATTGCTGTTTTGCTTTTTATTTTGGGGGGCTGTATTTAGGAACGAACAATAGTATATAATGTTGCATTATTCAGGGTTGACAAGGTTAATGTGTCTTGACAATCGAAATATCTGTGCCCTTTTTTTCCATTTGGCCGGCTTCTGTTAGAATCATTTATCTTGTGCCTGTAGGATGCAATCTAACTGGGGCACTGCTATTCTCCTCTCAGTGTTGGATGACATGAGATGCTCTTTTCTGAAGCCAATGGATTGGGCATCTCTGATTTCTTGTTCACCTAGAGGACTTTGTTTTCAGGGCAGGATAAATGCTTGTTTATTCTCATGCATGCATGCTCTCCCTCCCTCTCTCATTGAACGTGATGTTTTCGTGGCCCCTTGGTGCTTGAGACCTGGCTCATAGGAAGCTGAACTCAGAATCAAAACTTCTCCTGAGGTGCCACCTAGCATCACTAACCCCAGAGATGACCGGGGTAGCCCTGTTAACACTACACAAATAAAATATGTCACCAGAACATTTCACTGAGATGAGGAATTTATTTCCATGATTCTCTAAGGTTCAACTATAGTACATGCTGCTTTTTCCTACTGGGCAGCAAACATGTTTTACTAAACTCTTACCTAAGTGCTTTCTGTTTACAATTCCACAATGAATTCCTGTCTTCCTTCATGTTGATTTCTACAAATATTGTGATTTACTTCCACACCTTTTTGAGGAAGCAAATTCCAAGTTGTGATGCATCTTTTAACTTTTATCAGCATTTTATTGTGAACAAAATTTCAACATATGGAAAAAGGGGAAGGTTTTACAGCAAATATCTGTATACCCTCCACTTAGATTCTATGATTAACATTTACTGTATCTGCTTTATCAGGTATCTATTCTGTTTATCCATCCATTTTCCCATTCAGCTGTCCATCTTTTTTCTTTTTTGATACATTTCAAAGTAAAGTTGCAGACATCACCGGACACGGTTGCTCACGCTTGTAATCCCAGCACTTGGGGAGGCCGAGGGGGGCGGATCACCTGAGGTCAGGACTTTGGTCTCAAACATGAAGCCTTGTCTCTACCAAAAATACAAAAATTAGCCTGGTGTGGTGGCGGGTGCCTGTAGTCCCAGCTACTCGGGAGGTTGAGGCAGGAGAATCACTTGAACCCAGGAGGCCGAGGTTGCAGTGAGCTGAGATCGCACCACTGCACTTCACTCTGGGCAACAGAGTGAGACTCCATCTCAAAACAAAAAGTTGCAGACATCAGTACACTGCTTTCTAAATAATTCTGCTTGCCTGCCATTAAAGTTCAATGTTTATAGATTTTTGAGGTAAAATTTCTATACAATGAAATGCACATTTCTTAAGCATACCATTTGATGAGTTTTGGTGTGTGTATACACCACTGTAACCCAAACCTCTGTCAAGATACAGAACATTACTAGAAAGTTCCCTCAGGCTGCTTGTTATCTGCCCTGAGCATGGGTGGTCCAGGAGTCACCCAGAATTTAGGACCATAACTCTCTTCATCTTTCCTTTCTGAGGTTCCCTTCCTTTCTGGGATGCCCCAGATCTGTTCTCTGATTCTCCGGGCAGAAAGGCTGTTGGTTTCCTGTTGGCATTCCTGCTGGCCAGCCTGGTGCAGACCAGGCCCTCCCTTTAAGCCAGAAGTCATGAAATTGGGAAATACATACAGTGCTGTTTCCCGCCTCCAGTATCAGTGCCCAGAATGTGCCTAGTTTTGGTCAATCTCCAGTGCCTTCAGGTAGCTGGGTGTTATTTTTTAAAAATCATTTTTGCCAGAGTTTATGTTTCTAATCTGTGGGAGGGTCAGTCCAATAGGATCGTATTGGCCATTGCCAGAAATGGAACTCTGTTCATTGTTTTAATAATTTTCTGTGTGTGGAATGCCCAAAAGATCTATTTATAAAAGGATTTCAAATAGCCTATGAAGGAAAAAGTGTATAGGTCCTGTTGCTGCATTGTGTTATGTTCTGGGAGATGCAGTGACAGTGTGTCTCTAAAAAAATGGCATCTAAGGACTACTTGACACACCCTGAACAAAGAGTCTCACTCTGTCACCCAGGCTGGAGTGCAGTGGTGCAATCATGGCTCAAGGCGGCCTCAAACTCCTGGGCTCAAGCGATCCTCCCACCCTAGCCTCCTGAGTAGCTGGGGCTACAGGCGTATACCACCACACTCAGCTATTTCTTTTTTTGTAGACATGGGGTCTCACTATGTTGCCCAGGCTGGTGCCTTAATTCCTGGCCTCAAGGGATCCTCCTACCTTGTCTTTCCAAGGCACTGAGATTACAGGCGTGAGCCACCATGCTCAGCCTTGAATAAAAGGTTTTTAAACTCAGGGAGTGTCTTCAGTGTTAGACATGACAGAGTTAATTTGGTTGTCCAGTGTTTATTGGTCCCTTTCAAGGCACTGTGGTGAGTACTGGCTGCAGTAGGGAGGGGGCAGGATGAGGATACAAATGACAGGAAGATGTGGCAGCTGGCTTGAGGGAAGGAGGAGATGCACAGACAGCTGGCCCAAACAGAGCATGATGGTATCTATGATAGAGGTGAAAAAAAAAAGAGGCCGGGTGTGGTGGTGCCTGCCTGTAATCCCAGCTATTCGGGAGGCTGAGACAGGAGAATCACTTGAACCCAGGAGGCGGAGGTTGCAGTGGGCCGAGATTGCGTCACTACATTCCAGCCTAGGTGGCAAGAGCAAAACTGTCTCAAGAAAAAAAGAGAGAGAGAGAATATTGAGGGAGCACCAAGGAAGGTATGGTTAAGTTCAGGGTACATGACATTCAGGCTGAGCGTGGAAAGAGAATTTGGATTTCCCTTGGTAGGTATAGAGGCAAAGGCATTCCCGCCGGAGGAATGCATCAGGGGCAGTGTTGATTCGATGGTGCTGCGGGAGCCCTGAGAGGTCCGAGGTGCCTGAATCCGAGCGTGAGTGGCTACTGGTGCTGGCACAGTACTCGGCAGGGGAAGAGATTGCAAAGGTAGGCTGACGCCAGATGCTGAGGGATAATGAAGCCAGTCTAAGGAGTTTGGACTTTATTTTGTAGGCAATGAGGAACTATTTACAACTTTTTAGTAAGACTGTGGAATGACTGATGTGTGCTTTGGGAGATATTCCTGGCTGCAGTGTGGAAGAGGCCTGAAATGGGAGACGAACTGGGGCATTTTTGCAATTGTCTAGGTAACATCCCCCCTCCCGTTTAATCTGTATTTACAGCATTTGAGGGTCTTTTTGAAATTTTAAAATAGTTTACATTTTTTCTTTCCTGCAATTAAATTTAGACTGTTTAACCAAGAGGGGCAATTAGGTGACAAATTTGTGAATTGCACCCAAGAGATGAAAACTTGTGGAAAAAGTACTAATTCCAGTAACTAAAATCTGAAAGGTTACGATTTAAATAGACATTTAAATAGACTTAACCCGATCCTCCTGGAACTCTTTCCCTCATTCCTCCTTACAATTAAAAACACACCTTTGTGAGCTGGTTGCTTAGAATTAGGAGTGTCATCTGCCGTCACGGTGCAGACGGTATTCGCGTCTTTGAAGCTAGTTGGCCCACGGGAAACTTCATCAGTGAGCTGGGCCTTGTTCACAGGTGCTCAGCCACCTGAAATGACCAGATTGAAATCCAGCTTCATTTTCCACCTGGTTTGTCTCCACTCTGTTGGCCAACTCACACCTGTTCCAGGTAGCGTGAGAGAGAGCTGTCATCTCCTGGGGGTGGGGATTGGTCAGTGCCAGTTCAAACCGGTGACACACTCTCCTCCTTTCTACCTTCTGAACGAATCCCATAAGGCCTGGCTCTTAAGAAAGTTTTATTTACCGAGGACAATCCGCAAAACTTCATTACCTCGGTTCACAAAAACAAGGGCAGCCCTGCGTATGGGAGATGATTTAGAGAAGTTTAGATGTTCGATGTCAGTGTTTGCGGTAGGCAGGATTCCAGCCCCGTGGGCTTCGCCTCCTGGTGTTACATCTGTGAATATGCCACCTTATATGGCAAAAGGGAATTATGGTTGCTGAGCAGCTGGCCTTAAAATAGGGAGATTATCCTGGATTATTAATCACATAGGCCCTTATAAACACAGAAGAGGAAGGCAGAAGAATCAGAGGGATTTGATGGAAGAAGAGGCAAGAGGGACTCGAAACATGAGCACCTTTGAAGATGGAGGAAGGGGTCCCCAGGCCGAGGAATGCAGTGGCCTCTGGAAGCTGGGAAGGGCCCTGAGCTGACAGCCAGCAAAGAAATGGGGAGCCCAGCTCTGTACTTGTGAGGAGCTGGATTCTGCCAACAACCTGAATGAGCAAGGAAACATATCCTCCCTCTTCCCTCCAGATAGGAGCACAGTCCTGCTGACACCTGGTTTTCAGCACAGGGAGACCCCTGTTGGACATTTTTTTCTTTTTCAGACAAGGTCTTGCTCTGTTGCCCAGACTGGAGTGCAGCGGTACAATAATGGCTCACTGTAGCCTCAACATCCCGGGCTCAAGCGATCCTCTCGCCTCAGCCTCCCCAGTAGCTGAGAGTACAGGCATGCACTACCTTGACTAGCTAATTTTTTTTTTTTTGTAGAGATGGGGTTTCTCCATGTTGCCCAGGCTGGTCATGAACTCCTGGCCTCAAGCGATCCTCCTGCCTCAGCCTCCCAAAGTGCTGGGATTATAGGCGTGAGCCACTGTGCCAGGCTATGGACTTCTAACCTGCAGGCCTGTGAGAGAATACATTTGTGTTGTTCTGAGCTGCTCAGTTTCTGAAGGCAGCAATAAGAAATGAATACAGTGTTATTTATACAGGGCTTTGTTCCCTTGGAACCTTTTAAATTGGAGTGATCTGGGATGCTGGCATTTGATTGGCAGGTGCTGGAGTCAGACTGTGTTTGAATATGGGCCTTACCCCTTAGAGAGTGTTTGGTTTTCGGTGAGTTTTCCTCTCTGTGCTCCAGTTTAGCACTGTGAAATGGAAATAATAAATGCATTGGGTTCTCAGGGTGGTTGGGAGGATTGAGATAATACATGTAAAGAGCCTAGCCCAGTGGTTGGTACCTCTTAAGTACTCAGTAGTTAGAAGCTTTTATTAGAGTTGTTTGCAATAAGGGGCCATTAAAAAGATCTTCCTGTTCCATACCTGTCATACTATTTCAGACATCATTCTCTTATGCTAAGAGCAGGAAACCATCAAAAAGAAAACTGGAACAGTTTAGGCAGTGCTTACTGGGTTTCTGAGGTCTAGAAAGCACTTATATATGATGGACCCTCTGGCACTTGAGCAGCTCATGCTTATGAGAGAAACCTACGAGGCTGAAGCATTATGTCAATGCAGGGGAAAATGAAGTAGAACCCTTGGGGGCTATGCCAGTTTGGAGGACCACAAATACCCCGTGAATAAGCTCAGTTCCTACAGTCAGCTTCTGACTGGGGCGGAGATGTTTCCCATTATTAAGCTTACCGAGGTGAATGATCAAGATTCATTGCCAGTGTCCAGATAATCATCATGTCCTGAGAAATATTTCCAATTCCTTAGTCGTGCAATTTCAGAATGTCATGCTCCCATAATTTCCATAGTCCTCTAATGCTCTTGCATCTCACCATACCCCCATCTCTAGGATTGTGAATTTCCTGCTATGTTATGATGATGTCCTAATCCTGGAATCAGTAGAGGATGAATCTGTCAAAGCAAAAAATCGAGAAATCCTGTATTATTTAGCAGCATCAGGTGTCTTGGTAAAAGAGGAAAGACCTGTAGTACCACCATTTTGATCTTCCACATTGATGCTACTAGTATTCTACCCTTCAGGACAAGAGCTTAGCGCTTTCCTGCAGATTTCCATTGTCCACAGTGTGTTTCATCTACAAAAGGCAATCACTGATGAACCCTTGTACCTCCACCGGGGAGGGGTGGAGATCAGGATTCCACGTCACCAATATGATTTGCAGAGTATGAAGCTGTGCTTAGCTCGGATTGCCAGTATCAGGAAAATTCAGTATTTTTCTAACCAACTGTTGTTTTATCTTATGAATATTGAGACTCTTATAAATGAACATGTTTCTATATTCTTTGGTCACTTCAAAAGTCAGATCAACCTCTCTTTATCATATGGTATTTAGTATCCTATATTAACTGTATCTTATTTTCTTGCCCCATTTTCCCTTCATTCCTATTTCCACATATGTTCAATGTTTATTCCATAAAATGGTATTTCTATAAGTTGTCTCAGATCTATTTTCAGAACGAGGCAGGAGCAAAACGAATTACTGCTCAAAATCAATAATAAATGGTCAAAGGAACTATAGCCTGTTGTCATGGGAGCCAGTAGGTCCCACACCTATCTCTATGGTCATGCCTTTGGGACTCTCCTCTGAGGATGAGCCTACACCCTGTATTATGTCACCATATGTGTGGGGCTGGAGTCTTTTGCCAAGTGGTTATGTGTCAGGCACAGCCCTGAGTGCAGACGGGACACCGTGACATTGCCTGGTTGATTCATTGTGAAGGCATCACTACCAGGTTTGACTTGACATTTAACTTTCTTAAAGTATGGTTCATGGATAATGAGCATCAGAATCAATGGAGGGGCTTACTCCCAGAGATTTCAATTTAGTATGTCTGATCTGGGACCAAGGAATCCGCATTTTAAGAAGCATCCCAGATGGTTTTTAATCAAGTGGTTCATGGGCCAGATTTTGAGAAGTACTGCCTTAAAGGGTTGGTAGGATTTAAAGAGGCAGAGGTGTGCACTTCAGAGTATAGAACGGGTGGAAACAGAGGCACAGATTCTGGCAATGGGCACAGTGGGTGAGACAGGATGCTTAAGGGTGGGTGCCATGAACCCTGAGGGTGCTTTTACTCACTGTCAATGCCATTTGTAGATCTACATCAACATTGAAACATTCAACGTCAACATTTGAGCGTGCTAGCTCAAACATTTAACATGTTGTGTGCCCTTGAACATCTGCGTGCCTACTGTGTGCTGGCTGATTTGCCAGGTGCCAAGGATCCTGAAATACTAAGGCCACATTCGTCTAAGAGCATGCTGTTCCAAAGGAGAGGCTGACGTGTAGATACATGGAACTTCCGAACTGCAGAGGTACCATGATAGAGATATGTTTGGGGGAGTATCAATGAGGAAACGATAAGGGCAGGATGAGGAAGCAGAGGAGATCTGAAACTGAAAGCCGAGCAGATATTTTTATTCTTTGGAGTTTCTGAAATTGTGCAGTGCAGTGTTTTAGCTTAACATTCTCACAGTGACTTTTGCAATAACGATAACTTATTTTTATTGGATGGTTTGCTTGTGTGTTACCTGTCTTTTTGCTGCTTAATTAAATGACCTATATAAATATAGCAGCCATGACTAGGTGTATCTTGAGATTTTTCCAGCTGGTTCTGGAACTTGAAATTTTTTTTAAAAAAGTTAAAAGTCCTCTTTGACTTTTTATTCCCTAGTCTTAAAAACAAAATGACCTTTATTTGAAAGATTTAAAATGGCAAGATTTTAAATAACTTGGCTATTTTTTATTTCTTTTTAAGTCAGGTTTCCATGGTCATCAAACACTTTATGACTAAATATAAGATAACTTCCTCACTCTTGTCCACTTCTGCCCCATTCTGAGATGTTTGAGCTGTAATTCTGCCCACCTTGCTTCTTGTCCTGAACTGTATTAGCAGTGATGTTGGATGGATCCATCTCAGGATACAGCTTAAGTGACTCTAATTTAGAGTGAGAGCTAAAATTCTCAACCTACTTATCCTTGGCTACAACCCAAAGTTTCAAATGTTGTTGGATTACTCTCTTCCCGGCCATATTAAGCTCAGTGCCTTTGATGTAGCTTCAAGGCAGACTTGACCAAGTGGTATTGCCTCCCGCTGATATTTAGGTGGAAGCCAACACTATAAAAATGAACGTTTTACTAAGAGTACTCGCTCTACTACCTGCAAACCCAGCCAGTTGCTCTGCCAAATTGGTCAAAGAAAGAACTGGCTTGAGAATTGCAAAGTGTGTTCCTCTGGCAAAGAAATGGAGCTCAGATCAATCTCATGGGGCTCCCTAACTAAAATGTAGTAGACATGTCAAACACTTTAATTGGAAACTTCCCAAAAATACCCATCCCAAATGCTTAGTTTATTATAAAAGCAATTTTGTTAAGAAATGAATAACAAGGATGAATCTTTGATATCTTTTTAAGCCTTACTTTATTCTTCCACTAGCCCATGCACCTGAATTTCTAGGATACAATACCTAACAGTGCAGCAGATATTTCAGAGTATATAATTGGGTTGACACATATATTTTCTGCCTCGGCATTCTCTATAAGGTTGCAGAAAGATCTGGCGATCTGGATTACACAGAAACATCATTAAATTATATTTACAAATCTCTATGGAACAACCGTAGCATGTTAAGACCTATAATGGCCACAGAATTAGACATGGCTTCTGTCCAGTGGAGTCACTTCATTGGGCCAATTACAGATGAACTGGCAATCAGAAGATGCCCAGGGATCTCCTTAGCCTAATTTTCTTAGTTAGAATGTAAGATGTTTTCTTTGTTAGTCAAGTGAGACTGTTTTTCAAGAAGTCTAATCTGGACCTCTGAGTAATTGATGACATAAAATGATGCAGAATCTCAGAAGTTATTTAATGGTGTACCTTTGAATGGTGTATACATCTCCTTCAGCACAATTCTAAGCTGGGGTCCTTTAAGAGCTGCTTAAACGCTTCCAGCTACAGGAAACTCACTACTTCACAAACACACTTCATTTGAATTTTGTACTGTGATAGTTGATAGCTTTCTACTCAGTGGAATAATTTTCTACCTCCTTAAAACTTATTGGTCCTTGGTCATCCTTCTAGAGCAGGAGTTGGAACATTTTTCTTAAAGGGCGAAATGGTAAATATTTTCAGCTTTGCAGGTGTGATCTTTGTCTCAGCTACTCAACTCTGTCATGGCAGTGTGGAAGCAATACTTCAACAAACAGACATGGCTGTATTCCATTGAAACGTTATTTATAAAACTAGGTGGCTGGCTCATGAGCTGTAGCTTGGTGACTCTCATTTTAGACCTGTGTAATCTAGGTCCTGAAAATGAATTACTCAAACTCTTAATTCCAGGTGGGTTCCCTGACATATAAGGGGCACTTGCTCTCCCTTTGTATAGGCTTGATGAGTGAACTAAGAAAGTCTATCTAATGCCATTCAACTAATCTTATCAAAGTTTTTAAAGTCCTAGTAGAAATGCATTTGTAACTGGAATTATCTGTGGTTCTAAATACGTACCTCATGTTATTATGGAGTTCAACATAGGTTTTTTTTTTTTTTTTTTGCTTTTTAGAAGGAGGTCATTTTAATGCTATATAATTTGTTGTGTGTGCCAGAAAGCCATAACTTCAGGAAGGTGCTTTTAGTGTTCCATCATTGAGCTTTCTGGGATGGGAGGTGGCAATCTGGAGGTGAGAAAGATACAGGTGAACAAAAATCTTTGCCCTAAAAGTGTAGACTATTTTTATGGTTCTGAATACAGCCCTCCTTTCAGATCCGTGGATTATAATTTAGATATCAGCACAGAATAGCTATCTGAAGCATTGCTCATGTGTTTTCCCCCTTTTCTCTTGGCTCTTCTGTAGGGCTGTGGTAGTGCCAGCTTATTATCTGCTGGGCATAATAAACACCTACACCTAGCCTCCAGGGATCAAGAAACTGGGTCAGCCAGGAGTCAGCCTATCATGCTGCAGAAGCTGGTAATATTAAGCCCAGAACCAGCCTCATTTTAAGATTTTACATTATATAATGGTAAGAGCAATGCTGATGTTAAAAAAAAAATACTGGTTGGAGTCCAAAGTAATTTTAGACATTAAAGAAAGGTTTCAGAACATTTTAAGTAATGTTTATTAAAGCTAGCCCTGACCTCAATCAAGCACCTGCTACTTAATTGATCAAATGGTCACTGGTAAGCCCTGTCTCTTCTAAAGTGACTTCGCCCCAAGTCATCCACTGACCTTTGCTCAGCACTTTCTCCAGAGACGAGAGAGTGCACAAGAGGAAATGAAAAAACAGATTTGGTGGGAATTGTTGTTCCTGGTTGAAATGAAATGTATGTATCCCTGCTACCCAAATGTGGTCTGTGGACCAGCAGCAGCTGCCCCACTAGGGAGCGTGTCAGAAATGCAGCATCCCAGGCACCTTTAGATTAGAAACCTGCATTTACAAGACCCCTAGGTGATTCATAGGCACAGTAAGGTTCGAGAAGCACTGATCCAACCCACAGCCCTCCTTCTGCACAGCGGTAACCCAGCAGGGCCATCTTTGTTTCAGAAGCACCCATATTACAAAGAGCTTGAGTTATTCTGGGGAGGTAAGGTAAAGGAGAGAAGTCATACTTCAATGGCAGTGAGACTTTGCCTAGAAATCTACAAAATAACATTACTCTGAGTGCTAGAACTGTAAGTACTTCCATCACTCTGCTATACAGCCTTTTCTAAATAAGCATTAAAGGATATAGGTTTTCGTCTAACATCAATTTTTTTTGATATGTTGTGCTTTCTATTTGCATTCAGCTCAAAATATTTTTAAAATTCCCCTCGTGATTTCTTCTTTGACCTGTGGATTATTTAGAAGTATGCTGTTTAATTTCGAAATATTTGGGGATTTACTGATTTCTAGTTTAATTCCGTTGTAATGAGAGAACACTGTATGATATCAATCATTTTTAATTTTGGTCTTATTTTAGGGCCATAATATGGTTGATCTTGGTGGATGCTTCCTGTGCCCTTCAAAAGAATATGTGTTCTGTTGTTATTGGGTAGAGTGTTCAATAAATGGCGGTTAGGTCAAGTTAGTTGATAGTGTTGTTCTTTATTGTCTTTTTTTCTTTCTTTCTTTTTGAAACAGAGTCTTCATGTGTCATCCAGGCTGCAGTGCAGTGGTGCAATCACAGCTCACTGCAGCCTCTCCCTCCTGGGCTCAAGCGATCCTCCCATCTCAGCCTCCCGAGTAGCTGGGACTACAGGCACGTGCCACCATGCCTAATTTTTGTGTCTTTGGAAAGATCAGGTCTCTCCATGTTGCCTAGGTCTCAAACTCCTGAGCTCAAGCGATCTGCCCTCCTCGGCTTCCCAAAGCGCTGGGATTAGAGGCATGAGCCACCACGCCCAGCCCAAATCTTTACTGGCTTTCTTTGTACTTGCTCTATCAATTACTGGATGTTGAAATCTCCAACTATAATTAAGGATTTGTCTACTTCTTTTTTCAGTTCTGTCATTTATTTTTCCCCTTCCTGTGTTTTGAAGCCCTGTTCCTGGGAAATCCACATTTAGGACTGTTATGTCTCTGGATGAACTTGATTATTCTCTTTGTCCTTGATAATAGTCTTTGTTCAGTAGTCATCTTTGTCTGAAATTAATATGACCACTCTAGCTTTCTTTTCATTTGTGTGCACACGGCATAATGTTCTAACCTTTTTTGTTGTTGTTGTTTGTTTGTTTGAGACAGAGTCTCGCTCTATTGCCCAGGCTGGAGTGCAGTGGTGCGATCTCGGCTCACTGCAAGCTCCGCCCCCCAGGTTCAAGCCATTCTCCTACCTCAGCCCCCTGAGTAGCTGGGATTACAGGCACTTGCCACCACGCCCGGCTAATTTTTTTGTATTTTTAGTAGAGACCGGGTTTCACCGTGTTCTCCAGGATGATCTCCATCTCATGACCTCGTGATCTGCCTGCCTTGGCCTCCCAAAGTGCTGGGATTACAGGCGTGAGCCACCGCGCCCGGACTAATTTTCTAACCTTTTTAACTTTTAACTTATCTGTGTCTTTAGTCTTTATATATAAAGTGGGTTTCTCATAAATAACATAGAGTTAGGTCTTGTTTATTTCTTGAAGCAACCTAACAATTTCTGCCTTTTAATTGGTGTGTTTAGAATATTTACATTTAATGTGATTATTGATGTGTCTGGGTGTAAATCTACCATCTTGCTATTTGTTTTCTATTTGTCCCATCTGTTCTTTGTTCCCTTCCCCCCTTTTTCTGCCTTCTTTTGGATTGTGTATTTTTTGTGATTTTATTTTATTTCCACTACTGGTTTAGACCTTTATGTTTTATTTATTTTTAGTAGTTGCTCTAAGGTTTATAGTATATGTGCTTAACTTACCACAGTCTGTTTTTAAATATTTTACCACTTCACGTAGAATGTAAGAATTTTACAACAGTATACTTCAATTTCCTTCTTCTGTTCTTTGTACTATTGTTTTCATATATTTTATTTCTGTTTATGTTACAAAGCCCATAATACCCTGTTAGTGTTTGCATCAAGCAGTCAATCACGTTTTAAATAAATTAAAAATGAGAAAAAGTCTCTTACGTATACCCACCTATTTACCATTTCTCACACTCTTTATTCCTTTTTGTAGATCAACATTTTTTTTTAATCTAGAATCATGTTCCTTCTGCTTGAAGAACTTCTGTTAACTTTTCATGTAATACTTGTCTACTGGTGATAAATCCCCTCAGCTTTTATTTATCTGAAAAAATTCTCTATCTGTGTTGTGGAAAGATATTCACTGGGTCTATAATTTGAGATTGACAGTATTTATTTCCCTTGCAGCACTTTATAGACAGTGTTTTACTGACTTCTACCCTGGATGGCCTGATGACATCTTGGTTCCTTTGTACATAAATTGTCTTCTGTTATATGGCTGATTTTTAAGATTTTCTCTTTATCACTGGTTTTCAGAAATGGTTTTATCATGTGCCTTGGTGTTGTTTTATTTAGGTTTCTTCTGCTTGAGGCTCTTTGAGTTTCTATCTGTGAGTTTATAGTTTTATTTAAATTCAGAAAAATTTGGTCATTACTTCTTCAAGTCACTTTTTGGCTTTCCTCTTTCGTCACCTCCTTCTGGGTTTCAAATTACCCATAGGCTGGACTTCTTTATATCTCACGCTTCAGTGTTTTGTTTTGTTTTGTTTCCTCTCTGTGTTGTCTCATTTGGGCAAGTTTCTATTGCTAAGACATCAAGTTCACTAATATTTTCTTTTTCAGTATCTAAACTGCTGTTAATACCATCTAATGCATTTTTCATTTGACTAAAAGTTTCATTTACTTATTTTGTGTGTCTTTCATGTATTTCCTTCTCATGCTCATGCTTTTCTTTGTATTCTTGAGCATATATTTATGATTTATAATACCAATTGTAAGGTCCTTTCCTTAGTCATTCTATCACCTCTGTTATTTCTGAGTCTGTTTTTATGGATTGATTTTTCTTTTAGTTATGAGTTATTTTCCTACATCTTCAAATGCTCACTAATTTTTGAGCATGCAAAGATGCTGTGTGCTGGATTTTGTTATATTCCTTTTTAAAAAGTGAGCACGCAAAGATGCTGTGTGCTGGATTTTGTTATATTCCTTTTTAAAAAGTTAGATTTTATTCTTCTGTGCAACGAAGTAACTTGCAGATCAATTTGATCCTTTTGAACTTTGCTTTCAAGCTTTGTTATGGTGGATTCAGACAGGCCTTTATTTTAGGATTAATTTATCCCCTCCTAAGACACATTCTTTTAAGAACTCTACCTAATACTCCATATATTATGAGGTGACTACATTCTGGTTCTCCAGCACGCAAACTTTCCCCAGCCTTGTGTAAACTGGTAATTTTTTTTCCTGCTGCTTTCCCATAGTTCTTTCCTTGCCTTGGAGGTTTTCTTTGTACACAAGCAGTTCAGAACTCAGCCAAAGGTTAGAGAAGACCCCTCTGTAGATCTTTGGAGCGCTCTCTCTATGTAGCACTCTCTTTTCCAGTATTTAGCCCTGAAAATTTAGATGCCTTGGCCTTCCCAAACTCCAATCTCTGTCTTCTAAACTCAATGAGATTGTTGGACCCTATTTGGTAGCCCTCTCCCTGGGCTGCCACGTAAACATATAAGTATCCTTCCATTTGTAAAATACATAGCATAGTGTGTTAGTTTCCTAAATCCGCCACAAGTGGATGACTTTAAACAACAAAGTTTATTCTCTCATAGTTCAGGAGGCTAGAAGTCTGAAACCAAGGTGTCAGCAGGCAGTGCTCCCCCTGAAGACTCTAGGAAGGATTTTGTTCATGCCTTTCTCTGAGCTTCTGGTGTTGCTGGCAATCCTTGTCTTGTAGAAGCATCACTTCCATCTCTACCTCGGCCATCATAGGACATTCTCCCTATGCCTGCTTATGTGTCTCTTTTTCTTCCCTTATGAGGACATTAGTCAGATTGGATTAAGGGCCCACCCTACTCCAGTATGACCTCATCTTAATTATATCAACAAGGATGCTATTTCCAAATAATGTCACATTCTGAGGTTCTGGGAAGGACGTGAATTTTGGGGGGACACTATTCAACCTAGTACCTATGGCAACTGTGAGTCCCAAAGTTGCTTTGATCCCTTGATAAGGAAATTCTTTATGCTGAGATAAGACTAGTTTCAGATATGCTGCCTGCATCATTTCCAGACTGCTCTCCCTACGTCTCTGCACCCTACCTGGTAATCTGTGAGTGTTCTTTCATAATTATACAATGTATCCACAGCTTCATCTTCATAGATCAGGAATGCCCATTTCCTTGCAGGTTCCCTGTCTATTCCTGAACTTCAGGGCAGTGAGAAAATTCCATCTTGTGTGCCACTGAATGCCCTTCGTAGCTTCAGTCATAACTGTTCATCATCACTCTCTCACCCTGCTAAAATGCCCACTCTGAAAGTTTGTCTATTTCAGAATCTTGCCTCTAATTATCTTCACAAGTTTCCTTTGTGATGCACTGCCCTAGAAGTGGCTCATTTTCCATATCAAAGTTCTGCAGATGAGAAACAGAATTATAGTAGATTACTCTTGCTAGTAGAGAAGAATGCCCCTGCATGGGGAAGATGCCAATCAAACATAACATTTTCCGCAAACGTTTTGCATATTGCCTTATGTTATAGTCCAGCTTCTTTCTGGAAAGATGACAGTCCATACGGGCCCCAGCATCTTTGTGAATTCGTACTGAGAATGTGAATTCGCAGATTGAGTAGCCACCAGACTTAGACAAGTGATCTCCCAGCTATCCAGGCAAGGAGCTGGATAAAGAGATGATGATGGTCACCAAGGTCAGAAATAACTGGCAGAATCAGGAATAGATTCAGTGAGTTTTGGCTCACAACTCACCACCAGGCATTTTTTTTCAAGACAAAGAAATCCATCTGGGTTTCTGTTGGGTCCTTGCAGGACCTGACTAGATTTGTGTTTGGAAAATTGCCATACCAACAACTACGGTTTGCAACCAAGCCTATTTAAAACAAGATCAACAAAACCCCTCTCTTCCCTACAGTGCCTTGTGGTATTTGAGTGTTAATTTTGACTTCTTTTGAATAGCTGTGGTGGCAGTGGCTAAAGGGTGAAGCTTTAAGATGCCTTAGAGGATCAGTCATAGAAGGCGGCTTGCCAAGCCTGACACCGAAGAAAAACGCAGCCCTTGGGTCCGGCTGTGCCTCGCAATTCTGGCATCCAGTCTTTTCTCTGACCCAACCACAAACCCCTTCACCCTCTCTCCACCCCCTTCCACATGCTCACACGCACATGAGGTGCAGCCACTGTCCCCTTCTCTGTGTGCTCCCTTGTCCACGGATGCATTTGTGGTTGGAGGGGAGTCGGTGCAGCCATGGTAGAATAGAGGTCCTCGTGTAAGACTAACATGAGTGGTCTATTTACTCATCTGTGCTGCCCACTAGACCAAGAGCTCCTAAGAGCAGAGACTGTCTTATTCTTGTTTATATCTTCAATGTCCAGCACAGTGTCTGCTCAGGACAGCCATTGAATTATCTCCTGAATGGTTAGATGGTATAAGGAAGGCTTCCCTTAAAGAATATCTTGCCGCTGTCTTGGGATTTGACATTCAATGAATCAGGAGATGATTCTTGAAGTTTCATATCCGTTAAGTTCCTCATTACCATATATGTATGTATGTATGCTTGATACTAGTAATATCATCAATCTTACCAGGAACGTGGTGTCCCCAGGAAGGTCATACATTGCCACAGAATCTGGCCAAATGGTTCCTTGAGCAGTTCCACGTGGAGGGGACGTCTGTGCACATGAGTAGATAAAAAATGCAAGCAATGTTGTTGAAAGTTAGAACTCAGCTTTTTTCCCCTTGAGGTCCTCGGCCACCACTCAGCTGCTGAAATCCAGAACACTTTGGTTCTAGTCCTGGTTCTGACATGAATGCCCTGGTGACCTTCGATTCACTTAACCTTTCCAGACCCTAGTTTTGCCTCATCAGCAAAACACATGCTCTTTAAGGCCCTTATAACCCTAAACTCTTGCCTTGAACCTGCTTTGAGTTTTAAGTAATGAACACATGAGACTAAACAAATCAGATTTTAAAAGCTTGAGTGAAATAAAAGAATTTAAAAAAAAGAAGTGAATTTTAAAGACTAATTTCTTTCTTCTTCTTTTTTTTTTTTTTTTTTTTTTTTGGAGACTGAATCTCACTCTGTTGCCCAGGCTGGAGTGCGGTGGCACAATCTCAACTCACTGCGGCCTCTGCCTCCCAGGTTCAAGCAGTTCTCCTGCCTTAGCCTCCCAAGTAGCTGGGATTACAGGTGCCAGCCACCATGCCTGGCTAATTTTTGTATTTTTAGTAGAGATGGGGTTTCACCACATTGGCCAGGCTAGTCTCAGAACTCCTGACCTCAGGTGATCTGCCTACCTTGGCCTCCCAAAGTGCTGGGATTACAGGTGTGAGCCACTACACCTGGCCTCTTTCTTAATTTTATCTAAGAAAGCAGAATTTCACATCTTAATTTTTATTTTTCAACTTTTTTTTTTTTTTTTTTTTTAGATACAAGATCTCGCTCTGTCACCCAGGCTGGAGTACAGCGATTATAGCTTACTGCAGCCTCGAACTCCTGGCTTCAAGTAATCCTCCCACCCCAGTCTCCCAAATTGCTGGGATTATAGGAATGAGCCAGTGTACCTGACCTTCAAGTATATTTTTTGAGGTGGTATGATAGACTAGTGAAATTAAAACAGGAACTGTGAAATTATAATTTATTTGTTCCTTTTCCTAAATACCTTTGTCAGTCTGCATGTGAATTAAAGTAATTATTTACTTTATATCAGAGTAGAGCAAGGAACACCGTCTTTCCACCTTGACTTTGCTGCTCTGGGTGACTTTGGGCAAGTAGTTTAGCTCTCTTGGACCATAGTTTTACTTATTTATTTATTTATTTGTTTCTTTGAGACAGAGTCTTACTCTGTCACCCAGGCTGGAGTGCAGTGGTGCAGTCTCAGCTCTCTGCAACCTTCACCTCCCGGGTTCCAGCAATTCTCCCTGCCTCAGCCTCCCAAGTAGCTGGGATTACAGACGCCTGCCACCACACCCAGCTAATTTTTGTATTTTTAGTAGAGATGGGGTTTCACCATGTTAGCCAGGCTGGTCTCAAACTTCTGACCTCAGGTGATCTGCCTGCCTTAGCCTCCCAAAGTGCGGGGATTACAGGCGTGAGCCACCGTGCCTGGCTGGACCGTAGTGTTTTAACATGTGAAAGTAGATGTCTGGTGAATAAAAGTTAAAGTAAAGTTTTGAATGCATCAAAAACGTCTCTTTGAAATAAGTGCTGTTATGCGGAGCCTCCAAAATGAGTTTTCTTCACCTCGTGCTGTAATTAGTGAGTAGAAAGTCTCCAGTTAATTTTGTAAAATATAAGCCATTACGGACATTGTTCTTTCTCCCTGGATTAACAACTCCAGCAGATCTGAATGGCAATAGCACATATTAGTTGAACGAGGGTCAGTTTGGCCTTTGCCTTATATTCGGCATTATCGTTACAATGCGATACAATATCCTCTTCAAGATTCAAGCTTTCTTCTCTTATTTTATGCTTTTCTATGTCACATTTCTCCAAGACTATCTTTGGATTACTTATACACACAGCTGTTTTATGAGACTCTGTTGGAGCTTATGAGTCAGATTACTGTTACCAAAATGTTTGTGAAATCACTTCTTAAGTCATATATTTGCATCATGTACAACCTGTTTGACAATCAAAACATTATGCCCTTCAGCACTTGGCTGGTTATGATAGTAAGTTTTCCAGTAGAGTGTTCCAGCAGAATATAATTGGGCAGTAGACAGAAGGAGCACAGTATATTATTTTAACATAGAATTCCAAGTGCATTTCTCTTCTTGTAAGATTGAGAAGGACACATAATATTCTGTAATAGACTCAGGGTGATCAATTAATAGCATAGAGAAATTCCAGTGCAGCTGGGGCATTACCAAGTGCAGCCCTGGAGCCAACAGGGGTGGATGGAAGGATGGAATGGCCGGAACACAAGACGCAGACATGGCCACTGACACAGCACTGCCTGTCTGTGTTGGTCAGTATCTCAGGCACCTGCTGACACTGGCTGTTCTTTACCTGCTCTTGGCCAACCTTCAAGGCCCATCTCAAATGGTGGCTCCTTCAAAAAGGCTTCATTGATATCTTCAGAGTAGACTTAGAGACTCCCTTTCCTCAAAGTCTTTACGGCATTTTCTTTGTACTTTCTGATCGCTCAGTTGTCATTTGTCATTTGTTATTGTCTCATTGCCCCCACTTGTCCGTAACTTCCTTGAGGACAAGGAATGTGTCTTACTCCCCTTGGATTTCTTTTCTTTTCTTTTTTTGAGACGGAGTCTGACTCTGTTGCCCAGGCTGGAGTGTAGTGGTGTGATCTCAGCTCACTGCAGTGGCGTGATCTCAGCTCACTGCAACCTCCACTTTCTGAGCTCGAGCAATTCTCCTGCCTCAGCCTCCCGAGTAGCTGGGATTACAGGCGCCCGCCACCATGTCTGGCTAATTTTTGTATTTTTAGTAGAAATGGGGTTTCACCATGGTGGCCAGGCTGGTCTCGAACTCCTGACCTCAAATGATCCACCTACCTCAGCCTCCCAAAGTGCTGGCATTACAGGTCTGAGCCACTGCACCTGGCCAACCTTGGATTTCTTAAAAGGAAGGGGTTGTATCTTGATTAAGGTGTGAGTGGTCAAATGTCAATGCAGTGTTATTATATGTCATTTTTCAAAGGACACATCCAAATTCAGCCAGTGACATCCTGGGTTGACACTTGAAGGTCTGCTTTAATGATCTTGAAGGTTTGCTTTAATGATCTTGAAGGTTTGCTTTAATAGTCTTTCGCAGTAGTCCTGGGCACTGACTTTTGCTAAGGCATGACGTGGGGGAATTCAAACTTTTATGCAGTCAGCCTTGCCCTCTTGGAGTTTATGATATTATCAGGGACAATATACAAATATATAACATATATACATATGTCCTAAGTGCTAGCTGAGTAAAACGGCACATAAATTCTATAGAAATATAAGCTTCATCCCCAGCTTACTAAATAAATATTCTTTCTAGCTCTGAACATAATTGCATCTGTAACAATCCTTATATTCTGATTAAATAAAAAGATGCAACTCAATGTGCATGTCTGAGTGTGTGTCCACGCATTTTAAGTGTTTTTCCAGTGCCCATAATATGTCTTATCAACATATTGATTTTCTGTCCATATTCTCGCAGTTCTTCTCCAGGGGATAGGAGTATGTTGCTAGAGGGGATCTTAATAGTTGGCTTGATGTTTAAGCCGCCGTGCGACGCAGATGTGCAGCCAGCTGAAGTCCGTTTTGCAATGACGGTATCCTGGGAGTCTGGAGGAGAAACCTTTTAACGACTGTGAGATGTAGCCACAGCCCATAAAACATGGCCGTGCGGCAGGCGCCCAGCTCTCCACCTGACCTGTAAACTCCTATGCGCCTTTGCATCCCCACACTCTGCTTTGCAGATACTCTTATGAATTCTGCAAGTCTTGGTAAATAGGTTAGCTTTTAGAAACCTGTGTTTTAAAGTACAAAGCATGCATCTCAGATGCGAGTTTAGAACTTGGAGAAAGTTCTCCCGTGTTTTCAGCCTCCACTGTCTGCAGCCAACCCCAGGGGAGGAATAGTATGGAAGAGAACTCAAAGAAATGAAAGCACAACATACCCCTTTACTTTGAAACAAGAGGCCTGTAAGTATTCATGTAAAAAGTCATGGTAAAATTCTGTGTTCTTACAGAATGATGATCCTCTTATTTTCAAAGTTGTGGGGAGGCACTCTTATGGGAATAAAAAGACTCCAAAAACAAAACAAGAAGAAAAAGTATTTTTCTACACAGAAAAACTTCAAGAAAACATCCCATCGCCTTTTATGTCCTAGGCTTTTATCCTTATTCTTTTAAAACACCCATTAAAAAGAAAGAGGCTGGCGGGTTTCATGCTAAAAGCTATTTGCTACAGGGGACAATTTGCCAGATATGAAAGTGTGGTTTGTGGGTGTTGACATTCGGGTTTGTCCTATCATGGCTGGGCAGAACCTCTGATGGACTCCACTGGACTATTTACTGGGCTGACCCCTCTGAGAAGTGGGGACACTGCCCCTCCATTTTAAGGAAATGGCAGGCTCAGATGGTGAATGCAGGTGCAGTCCTTGGCCCTGCTAAAAGGAAAGAAAAAAAAATCTATAGAATGTGGAGCAAATAATACAAGTTTGCCCTCCATGGTGACCTTCTCTCTGCCCACCCTCTTGGCTCACATCAATGGCAAGTTATAATTGGACTACAAGGACCAATATATTGTGTAGTCTAGAGGGGAAAATGCCAAAAGAAAAACTCCGTTGGATCAAGCGTATGTGTCCTGCGTTCATTTCTAGGTCTGTAAACAAACACAGCTGTTGAGTGAAGGATCCGTCTTCAGAAATGGTGAAAAAACAGCCATGCCCTGCCAGTGAGAGCGCAGCAGGGGAGAGTTGTTCCAGGGCTTGGGAGGAGCAGGCGAGGCGCAGCAGGGCCGGGACCATGTGTCTCCTCCGTATTCCAGGAGAGGCCATTCTGTGTTTTCAGCTGAGGCTGTTGGAGCATGGAGAATGATGAGTGTGGGAAGATTGGGAGGGAAGAGGATTCTGAAATTTCATCTGCTTTCCTCAAATTAAACCTTTGTTTAACATACAAGACCTTGGCTGCCTTTTTCTGGAGGTGGTGGAAGGGAACTTGTATCTTTTTCTCGACTAATTTTAAAATAATCTGCAACTTGGAGCAAAAGACATTAGAAACTCACGGGTCCAGCAGCTTGTATTTATATCAGTTATTGCTAATTTATATCAATTACTGCTAAGCTGAAGTTTTGGGCCTCACTCCTGTCTCTTTTCTCTCTCTACAGCTAAAACTTAGGTAATATCTATATTGTGTAGAGAACGTGCTACTGCGATGGACCTGCCATTTGCACATCAGATGTTCGTTCTGATGGTGTTATATGGAGGTCAGATTTCTGCACCATGATGGACCTCTGGCTTTTGGTTGCCTCCCAGTCCCCAATTCTTTTTATTAAAAAAATTTTTTTAGGGGCAGGGTCTCGCTATGTTGCCCATGCCGGATTCAAACTCTTGGACTCAAGACGTCCTCCCATCTCAGCCTCTGGAGTAGCTGGGACTACAGGTATGCGCCCCCATGTCCGGCTGCCCTTCACATTTTTATTACCGGAAGTGCAGGTCCCTCAGCAGTAGCTGATGCAGGACGAGGCCCAAGGGAGAGTAGGGGAGTGAGGTCGAGGAGGGATTTACTTTATGCCTGGAGATCTTCTTAGCTTGGCAGTTGATGGCTTGAGGCTTCCCTTCATGCCTTCATTTATATAATAGACATTTTCATAATACTCTGTGCAGGTAATTCGTTGACTTCCTGGCCAAATTTTTTCTCGATAGTGGGAGACTGGTCGAAAGTTTGAACTTTGGCTTTTTGCAGTTGTATTCCTCCCTGCTCCCACTTGCAGTGTCGTTTTGAGTGAATCACTGCCCAGGCATGGACCATTCCCGAGACTTGTAGGCCTCGAGTTTCCCAGTGATTGGTTGATACTTCTGCCTTCTGATTGGTTGGGTGAGTTGGCTGGTGCAGGGATGCTGATGAGCCCAGGATTGTGGATTTATTCCCCCAAAAGTTTAAATTAGTTTCCCAGAGAGGGGGAAACCCCAGTTTGACCACATTTATTATTTTATTTGCTGCCTCAGGATTGTAGGAGGGACAATGTAATAATGTAATAATCTAATAATTGGACCAACTCAGCAGTACAGGTAAAGAACAAAAGATTCCCCTCAAAAACAAAACAATACAAAGCTAGGTCAATCCTTGCTTGGTGCAGTTAGGTACCTTGCCCCGTGACCACACCTGATATTAATAAGGGATGCGTAAGTGTATCAAAAACACACATTAACCAAGGTACATTTCTCGCCATGTCAGCAGCATCATCTCCCAGGGGGAGGGACCACCCTGATTCCTGCTTCTCTATCACTAATTGGCTTGACGCTCTTTTAGCACATGCTGGTAGACGGCAAGCATGTTTCTTGTGGCTGCTGTCACAAATTACCACAAACCTAGTGGCTTACAACAATCCACGGTTATTCTCTCACAGCTGTGTAAAGCAGAGGTCTGGCATGAGCCTCACTGGATTAAGATCAAGGTGCCGGCAGGGCCGTGTTCCTTCTGGAGGCTCTAGGGGAGAATCCATTTCCTCGCTGTTTCCAGTTCCTAGTAACCGCTTGCATTCCTTGGCTTGTGATACCCTCCTTCAAGTTCAGATTTCTCTCCGTTACTCCCACTTCCATCACCACATTTCCTTCTCTGACTCTCCTGCCTCCTGCATTCCCTTTGTGGGCCCAGCTGAATAATCCAGATCCTTTCTCCATCTCAAAAATCTTACCTTAAGCATTCCTGGAAGATATTCACAGCTTCCAGGGATCAGGATGAGGACATCTTTTTTTGAGCGGCAGGGAAATGGCCTTTCTCCATCGGCCACAATAAACTTAATGTCTTCACAATGACTCACAGTTTTTAAAGGGGAGATTCTTTCTGCATTTAGTGTGTGCTTCCAGTTTTTTTTTGTTTGTTTTTTATTTGGCAGATGGAAGAAAGATCCTATGAATGTTGAGGACTGTATCTTGTCTGCTGATTTTCTGAGTGGCTTTGCAATCTACCTCTAATAATGAGCTAAATAAAGTGGATTATAAGAAATCACTAGGCTGGGTGTGGTGGCTTACACCTGTAGTCCCAACATTTTGGGAGGCTGAAGTGGAAGGATTGCTTGAGACCAGGAGTTTGAAAACCAGCCTGGGCAACATAGTGGGACCCTGTCTCTACAAAAATGTTTTTAAAAAATTAACCAGATGTGGTGGTGCACACCTGTAGTCCTAGCTACTTGGGAGGCTGAGGCAGGAGAATCACTTGAACCTGGAAGATCAAGGCTGCAGTGAGCCAAGATCGTGCCACTGCACTCCAGCCTGGGCATCAGAGTGAGATCTTGTCTCATAAAAAATAAAATAAATAAATAAAAAGAAAACACTAATTAGAAGGTATGTAATTCATAGACAATTTCCTTGCTCCTAAGTGTAGACTTGTTTTAAAGAATAGCCTACATCATTAAATAAAATCAGTTATATATTTTGAAGGCCTATCTTCTATGTCTTCATGGTACATGTGAAGACATTTTAGCTATCATTCCTATCCTATTGGTGAATTTATTGCTCTATTTCAAAAAAGTCAAACAAAATCAAAAAGAATCAAATACCTTCAGACACTTAGGATTGGCCCAGTAAGGTATAAATCAAATGGATATGGAATAGTATAATTTTTATTTTTATTTTTTATTTATTTATTTATTTTTTTAAATGATAGTTTGTTTGTTTTTTTTTTTTGAGACGGAGTCTCGCTCTGTCACCCAGGCTGGGGTGCAGTGGCGCGATCTCGGTGCACTGCAAGCTCCACCTCCCGGGTTCACGCCATTCTCCTGCCTCAGCTCTCCGAGTAGCTGGGACTACAGGTGCCGGCCACCACACCCGGCTAATTTTTTGTATTTTTAGGAGAGACGGGGTTTCACCGCGGTCTCGATCTCCTGACCTCGTGATCCACCCGCCTTGGCCTCCCAAAGTGCTGGGATTACAAGCATGAGTCACAGCGCCTGGCGGAATAGTATAATTTTTAAAGATGTTTTATGCTTATTGTGCTTTTTATAAAAGATAGCAACAATCTTCCAATGAGGTCATTCATTTCTGTTGGTACAGTTAGAATGTGTGTCTCTGGGTTGGTCTCTTTGAGTTTCTTTTGGCATAGAGCAGTATTCTCACCCTGCATGATCATCAGAGCACCTGAGATGCTTCGTAAAGTGTAGGTCTGAGCCCCACCACGGAGATTTGGATACAGTAGGTTATGAGGGGGGAGCGTCGAGCTTCTCAGGAAACCTAGTTCTCAGCTGTTTTTCTCCAGATACAAATCTGTAACTTTTTGTATTTATCTTAGGGTGAAGCTTTCATACTGTGAGCTCATTCAAGCCAGAGATAATTTCTTATCCAGGAACCAGTTGGCAAATCTTTTGTACCTGCAGTTAGTCCTACTTATTTTAATTTCCTGATTTGATAATTCCAACAGCCCTGCTACGTCTGAGTCTGCTTTTGGTGCTTGCTGTGTCTCTTGTGTTTTTTGCTCTTAGTGTGCCTTGTAATTTTTGTTGAGAGCTGGACATGATATCCTAGGTGAAAGGAACTGCTGTAGCTAGGCCTTTGGTGAAGTGGAGGTAAGGTGTTGTGGAGGGGAAGCCCTCTGTGGTCTATGATTAGGTCTGGGTCTCTAATGAGCCTGTGCCCTGGTCTCAGCTTTTTTCTTTAATGACCCTGTGCCCTGGGCTCAGTGGGTCTCAGGTTTTTTTCTCCCCGCTTGGGTGGGACAGGATGGCTGGAGATAGGTATTTTCCTTCTCTTCCTGGGGAGGCAAGAGCGGGCAGGAAGTGCGCATGTCCCTTCCTCCAGGTGGTTTTGGCTCTGGTTTATTAGTTTTTCCTGAGGGCAGGCCTTGTTAAGAAGAACGGAGTGCTCTGGTGTATTGCAAACCATTCCCTTTCCTCTCCCACTGTGAAGTATGAAAGGATTTTTCTCCCACATTCACTTGGAGGACCTGGTCCAGCTCCTGGAAGTAAAACTTGTGAAAGCATGCCCCTCCCATGACTGGGTCGCCCTGGAGTTTTTCACTCTCAGTCTTGTCCACGCTGAGCCTCCAGCAATTCGCCACTTAGGATTCAAGGTTTCTCTGGCGTTGGTTCCTTTGGAGGTTTCTGCTCTGGTAAGTTTGAGTCTTTGTTTTGCCCTGGGCAGAGTGGGGTCCTCTGGGTGTTTCCAGGCCATGGGTTCTGGTCTCTTTGCTTCTATGTCCCAAGGCTGTCTTCTGGTATTTGCCACCTGCTTCTGAGCATGGGTCTCAAGCCTCGAAATGGCCTCACCTCAGCGTCCTCAACATATGTGTTCACCATTCTTATTTTTGCCCCGTTCTTATTGACTGTAGTGGTTCCTCTGAAAAAAAGTCGCTCCACCCAGCCTGGCATCTTTTTCTCACTTCTGTCCAGTCTGCACAGGGACGCAAGGTGTTCCTCTTTATTTCAACAGCTTTCTAAGAGTGCCGATTTAATCAATCCTGCATCATTACTTTGAGCGGGAAAGGAACATTTCTCCCTCTCTTGAATTCCCCTAACACTTTGTGGCTTTCTTGTTGTACTCATCACAGCTTGCCATGATCTGTCATATATTATAGTTACGTGTGTCCTTTTCTACCACTTTATGAACTATAAAACCAGGAGGCCAGAGACTGAACCTTAACCAATTGCTGTTACTTCCAGGGCCAGAAATGATATATTGCAGTCAACTTGCATAACAGCTTTACTGACTAGATACAACAGTTCAAAAGGAGTATACGCTTCTCCCCAAAACTAAGCACATTCACTGAGTATGTGACGTGTTAATATGCTACTGCAGGTAGGAAAAACAAAACCCAAAGCAAAAAAGTTTTGCAAATGTCCCAGGTAATTTCTAAATGAGACTGGCTAAAGGTAGGGGAATTGAGCTAGCTGTTGGGAAGGACAAAGTGGAACTACACCGATCAGCTCTTCAGAGCCCAGACTTACCAAAATGATGAGCAACCTGAGAATTGTTTCAGCCAGTGCCTCCCAAACTTTGTTGGAATCACCTGGAGAGCTTTGAAAAGCCCAAGTTACACCCCATCCAAATCAGGATGCCTGGGGGGGTGGGAGTTTGGCATCAGCATGTTTAAAAAGCTCCCCAGGTGATTCTAGCATGCAGCAGAGTTTGCTATCGCCTGGCTTTTGCATCAGATGCATTGAGTAGGGGTCGAGTTCTGCACAGGTGTATTTGACCTTACGCCCTTGTTAAGACCTCTGCAGTGTTTTTGTTTTTCAGCATTTTCTGGCCTTTGAATTTAAAACTTGAAAGACTTAACTGGAAGGATCACACGTAAATCAAGCATAGGAAAACCCTTATGATAGTTGCCTTAGGGTTTTGGAATTTCAGGGGGAAGAAACAATTTAGAAAAACAATTCTTGTTACAATGTGCAAATTGTAATTTCACAATTATTTTTAAAAGTCAAACGACAATCTATGATGTAAAGAGGTTGATCTTGAATTTTTGAGTCCTACCGCATGTCTGCAAATGCAGATAGTTTTTCTTTCCAATATTCCTAACTTGTCTTTTCATTGTCTAGAACCTTGTCAAATAGATCATAATGACAACAGGCATCCTTGAAAACAGTGACTTGTGTAAACAGATTTTCTAATGTTGAGTCATTCTTGCATCAAAAACCCTTAGTCATCATATATAATTATTTTAGTAGACTACTATTTTAGCATCTTTGGATGTAGTCAGATGAGGTTGCCTATGTCCCCTCCTCCAACACCACCCCCCTGCACCTCCCCTCGCCCCCTTTTTAAATGCTGCTTGTCAGGTTTTGATATCACGGTTATATAACCACTTGTAAACTTCAAGAATGAGCTTGGAAACTGCCTTTTTCCTTTTTTAAAAAAATGCAGTGGAGCATTTTAAATGATACAGTGTAAGATTTATTTAAAATGGGAAAATAAGCCACATCCTGTTTTTAAGCGGTTGAACATACTTTCAAGTGAATTGATATCTAAATGCTTCTTCAGTGATGTGAATACAGCTTACATCATTGTTAAATACTAGGTCCTGGTGGTTTGGTTCAAATAATAGTGAAAGAAAAATCCCTTAAGGAATGACTGGAACCACATGTAACAATTGGTTCTGTCTCTGGGCCTTGTGACCTACCCGGTAAAGATTGCATAGTCTCGGGACTGGGAGTTTTTTTCACGATTTGTCTTCATCTGAGTCCTGGACATAGGTTGGGACTGGAACAAAACCTCAGTTGGAGGGATTCTGGATTAACAGATGTAAATATGTGTACTTGGAGTCATTACTGTCAATTTGACATCCCTGTTGATTTTATGGTATTACCCACACCCGGCCCTAAAAGCGCTCCTTGTTTTCTGAACCTTTTGATTCTGTACATCACCTGGGGTGCTCGTAAGGATTCCTGAGCTCCTTTCCAGATTTACTAACTCAGAAGTTCTAGGAAAGGGGGCTGGGAAATCTGTGCAGTCAGCAGTTACACCAGGTGATCCCTATTATTTGAAGTTCATCACAGCAGTGACTCCTAACCTTGCCTTGCATTACAATCACTTGGAGTGTTAAGAATCTTGATGCCCAGGCCTCCCTTATTGAGTGAATCCATCTCTGTAGGTGGGGCCTGGGCATCAGGATTTTGTAAACATTCTGCCAGCATTGAGAGTCATTGAGTTTCAGCATTCTTAGGAACTGAGTGGTATTATTTGAGATAATTGTCAATTCCTTGGCTCGTTGGAAATTCAAGACTGGGTATAACTGAGTAGAATCTGTGTTTTTGCTTGTAACAGAAATGAGACTGAGATCCTCTTTCTGCTCTGATTTTTATTTTTTACCTCCTCTTCTCTCGGATTTAATTCTACTTAAAATCATACTGGTCAGTTAAGCCGCTGCAGAATAACAGATATGTACCTGACACGTAGTAAATGTTTGATAAACGTTAATTACTGTTACTGGAATCCAGATGTCAGCTGGGCTTGTCCAGCTCCTTAAGCTGACTGCATTGAATCTCCAGTCCATGTCCTCAGAGCATCTGCTAATTTGATGTTTGTGGGACTCTACCGGCCTCTGCCTTGGTGTCTGCTGCTGTGCCTAGAGTTGTTCTGCACTGAGTTGACCCAGATGTGAAATCACCCCTCCTTCACACAAAACCCTCATAATAATACCATGTGTATATAGCACCCACATAAGGTAATTGCTGTCATTATCCCCACTTTGCAGATGAGGAAACTGAGGCAGAGAAGTTACATAACGTTTTTCCTAGATTATCCAGTAAGTGCGTGGTGGAGCGGACATTAAGCCCAGGCATATTGACCCCACAGCCTGTGTTGAGGTTTCATGGTCGTATTTGCTGGCCTCTCAGCAGCATTCTACTGAAGACTTAGGCAGGGCATGGAGGGGTGTTACACAGGGTGGTGCAGGGCAGGCTGTATAGCAGAAACCCAAAACTGCGCATCAGCCATTCCTTTCCTTAGAAGTCCTTTTAGGTCGGATGCGGTGGCTCATGCCTGTAATCCCAGCACTTTGGGAGGCCGAGGCGGGTGGATCACCTGAGGTCAGGAGTTTGAGACCAGCCTGGCTAACATGGTGAAACCCTGTCTCTACTAAAAATACAAAAATTAGCCAGGCGTGATGGTGGGTGCCTGTAATCCCAGCTACTTGGGAGGCTGAGGCAGAGAGAATTGCTTGAACCTGGGAGGTGGAGGTTGCAGTGAGCCGAGATTGTGCGATTGCACTCCAGCCTGGGCGACAGAGCAAGCCTGCCTCAAAAAAAAAAACCAAAAAAACAAAAAAAAACAAACCCAAAAAAACCCTTTTAGCTTTCATGCTTCAACCTCTTAGGGTCATCCTTGGGAACCCCACACTCCCCTCCCTCTATTTTACAGACCACTCTGCTCTCAATGTGCATAACCAAACTCATTCAGGTCCTAAGCCAACAGAGTGGCCTCCAGTTAACGAGACACCCTGTGTCTTCTTGTCATTGTTCACGGAAAAGGCATAGTCCTGTTCGTTACTTTTCTTGCTTTCTCACATACAGAATTATACCTGTTGGGATCTTTTCGTTGGTGAATTCAGAACCTGTCTTAAAGGCCCACGGCCCAATCTGTCAGTAATGAATTTATTTATTTATGATGAAATTATAAGGACTGAGGGGGACCAGACCACTCTAGTCAAACAGCCAGAACACTCTCTCCCTGTAGATGGGGCCAAAGCAAGCCAAATCCCAAACTCAATGCCAGTTTGTTGATTTACAGTGAGAATGACAACTGCCAATGGGACCGAGTACCATGCCTTTCTGCCATTGCATCCTCTCCCTCAGGGCCAGTGCTATGGGGGTAAAATTATAACCAAGAGCTGGTTAGGCAAAACCAGAACCAGGATGCAAGAATCAATGAGACTTCCAAAATTTGGATTTCTTCTCAGAATCCATGAGGCTAAGTCTCCTCTCCCCCTGGACACCGCTTGGGGAGAACATGTCCTGTCTTTGTCTCTGGACCCTTCTATCTAAGGTCCCATGGCTGGCAGGTGACAGATTCCCCTCCCCTAGTTGGTGTTCCCATTCTCACATTTCTTCTTTAGCTATTTTACTGAACATTTGATCTGATTACTTTCATGCTTGACAGGACTGGGACCCAATCTATCTCCTTGTGGTGCTTTAATTTGTCTTAATTGAGTTCATTAGGCGTTGATTTTAAAATGCAATTTTCTGAGGGCAATTTTCTCTTATTTCCAGAGTCTTGGAGGGGACTCTTCCAAGGCCCTCCAAGGGCCCTATGTGCCATTAACAGTCAGGAAAATGGCAGAAGAAAAATGCTTAGATGAACGTAGCAGATGCTCTGTTACGAAATTTTGCCCAACTGATGCCTGATGCTGTTTCTGTAGTGCTGTTTCTTGTACCTGCTCCCAAATGGTGCACCTAACACCCCAGTGTGACCCTCCCTCTGCCCTTCATCTCCATGTACACACATGTATACACAGCCCAGGAGAACTAGTTCTGTAGATTATGCCGTTTTAGGCAAAGCCAGATGAGTTCCCATATTCCAAAAGGAATTAGGGAAGGGCCAGAAGAGCAGAGAACACCTGTTGTTAAGTGTTCATTCGCCCCGGTGCATTTTCCTAGTGAAGGTGGTTAGGCAGGGTTCTAGGGAGAGACTGGAAGGCAGAGGTCACTGTGGAGAGTATCCTATAGACAAGATCAGAAATAGGGGAAGGGATAAGCCAGTCTCTATGTCATGCATAAACATAGGCTCAGAAAGGATATGCAAATGACTCATACAATAGCAGAATGTGCACAGTAGCTCTGTTTCCATTCAACGTATTTTCTTTCAGAAAAAGCATCCAAAAGTTTTAAAAGGAAAGGGATAAAGAAAAATGTGAACAATGGTTAAATTTAAGCACAGGACTTAAAAATTTAAATATTCTAAGGGAAGCCTTCTAGCTTAATTGAATCATGTACATGGGGCCTTTTCAGAAACAGCTCACTAGATTGCTTGGGATTTCCACGCGTTTACTACCTGACTTTTGGTCATCTTGTTTAGGCTAGGGTTAATGGGACAGGTTCTCTTCCTCATTTCTCCCTCTTCTGAGTGAGCCTATTTTCCTAGGCTGTTTGGAGTTTTTGGATAATGGCATTTTATCCACTTGGTCGTTATTCCCTGGGAATGTATGAAAGGGCCAGGAGCCCTGAACATCTTTGACCATCACCTCTGTTATTTCCAGAGAGACGTGGTCATTCCAGCCTCACCTGCCGGAGGAGGTATAGTCCTGGGCCAAGGTGGGAGTGGACTGCAGTTAGCAGTGGCACCTGGACTTCACGAAACGGGTCTTAGAGGCTAGAATAAGGTGTTTTTCGATGAAGAGAGACACATGGAACTCAATCCACGGCAGGGTTTGGGTGGCTCCCTCAGCCTGGTGGCAGAGAAAATTCTCAGGTTGCTTGCTCTCATTCCTGCTTTCTGCCTTCCACCCAAGAAAGCATAGCAGGCTGGCTGTGGTGGCTCACGCCGGTAATCCCAACACTCTGGGAGGCTGAGGAGGGTGGATTACTTGAGGTCAGGAGTTTGAGACCATCCTGACCAACATGTCGAAGCCCCGTCTCTACTAAAACTACAAAAACTAGCTGGGCATGGTGCTGGGCACCTGTAATCCCAGCTACTCAGAAGGCTGAGGCAGGAGAATCACTTGAACCCCTGGGAGGCAGAGGTTGCAGTGAGCCAAGATCGCGCCACTGCACTCCAGCCTGGGCGACAGAGGGAGACTCTGTCTCAAAACAAAACAAAAATTAGCCAGGTGTGGTGGCACATTCCTTAGTCCTAGCTACTCGAGAGGTTGAAGCCCCACTTGAAGCCAAGAGGCGGAGGTTGTAGTGAGCCCAGATCGTGCCACTGCACTCCAGCCTGGATGACAGAGTGAGACTCCGTCAAAAAAAAGATCAACACAATACATTTTCCTGGACCCTCAGCTTTCCTTCCTTATTGAAACAAACATGGATATTGCCTTAGTTCTTTTTTGGTTGCTATAACAATGCCACAGGCTTGGCAATTATAAAGAAAAGAAAATTGTTTGACTTACAATTCTGGAGGCTGGGATGTTCAAGAGCATGGCACCATCATCTGTTTGGCATCTGATGAGGGCCTTCTTGTTGTATTATTTCATGGCAGAAGGTGGAATGGCAAGAGAACACTCAAAGGAGAAACAGAGAGGAAGGGGGCTGAACTTACTCTTTTATCAAAAACCTACTCCTGAGTTCACTGACCTACTCCCACAATAATGGCATTAATCCATTCATGAAGGCAGATCCCTCGTGACCTAATCACCTCTTAAAGGTCCCGCCTCTCAACAGTGTTGCGTTGGGGATTAAGTCTCCAACACATGAACTTTGGGGGACACCTTCAAACCATAGCAGCTATATTGAGGAATACAATGGAAATTAAGATGAATGTTTGAGATAAGGCACAAGGTGTTAACAAAATTGTGGACTTTTGGCTAAGCTGGAGATCTCTAGGATATATAAATTCTCTCTCCTTTGCTCCAAGGATGATGACCTTGGTAGTGAATGTTGAAGGTCACAGAGCTGCTGAAGTGGTCCTGAATGGCTGTGGAGACCAAGCTTTTATTTTGGAAAGATACAGAACACCCATGGTGTTCACCATGAGCTTGTGACTTAAAAAAGAATCTCCTGCATGCTCTCAAAGCATCATGCAGATTTTGGTTTTTATCCATAATACATCCCTGTTTATTGTAATGTAAGAATAATGTTTGTAATTATCTCCTAGTGATTAAAATAGGAGGAAGATGTGCTCATTAGTCTGTGTGTCCGCCTGCCTGTTGTCAAGTAGTCAAGGGACCGGGTTCATGTCCCCAGTTGTAGAATGTGGTAAGGTCAGCTCTCTGATTCTGTTACCCTATCCCTTGCTTGCTTCCCAAGTCAAAATTTCTTTTTCTTCCAGGCGTCTGGGGTCAGGTTAGTTCTTCTTGATTGTTGGAGATAAATTTGCTGATGTTCTTCATCAACTCCAATGACTTAGTTCAGTATTTATAATCTATTTTCTGTGATTCCAAAACTAAACATTTGGGGTAGCAACGAATATACCATTCTCTACCTTCTAAGAAGAAATTATGTTTGTTTTCAAATAACTTTACTTCGCACTCATTCTACTTACATTAGAATGAAACAGCACTTCCTCTACGTCCATACCACCCTGAATGCACTTGATCTCGTTAGAATGAAACAGCACTTCAAGTACACTTTCTGTGCTTTTCTTTAATTAAAACAACTAAAACACTAGATGATGTTTGTTTTATAAGCAAGAGAGAGAGTAGAAGGTAAATTTTGCAGCACTTGGAAATTGTTTGACTTCTTAGGGGCAGTTACCTAAGTTGAAGCAGAATTTAGAGCTGAGTTAAAGAATTTAGTCACTGAGATAGTTGCCCAAGTTATACATGCAGACGTTGAGCTCAGAACTTCCATCACTGCCTCCCTTCCCTCAGTTTTCTCACTTTGGCCCAAGGGCTTTATCTAGTTGATCCTGGACTGGAACATTTAAAGGAGATTTTATAGAGACTTTGATTTAATAAAAGATGAATCAACAGTAACATGAAGCAAAGTTGTCTGGCTTAGATGTATAGCTTCTTTCATGGGTCTCCAATAAAAAGGTTGGTTCCCAACAAATCTTTTATTTAGTTGGCAAGTCATGTGCCCATTTCCAGTCTTCTAGGAGGAAGAACCTCATGGTGTCAGTCAACCATCTAGTCATTAGGGTGGCTTCCTCAGAGTCACTGGTTCTCTAAAACTTGTTCCTATGTGTGTCATTCCCCAACTTTACTATTGGTAGTTGTCAAATTAAGAGAGTATTAGGTACGAATACTTGTGTTTGTGTGTAAGAGACAGGGTCTTGCTCTATCACCTAGGCTTGAGTGCAGTGGTGCAATCATGATTCACTGCAACCTTGAACTCCTGGCCTCAAACAATTTTCCCACGTCAGTGCCCCAACCAGCTGGGATCACAGGCAGATAGTATTTTAACATTTTTATTGATATGGGAAGCTGCTTAGCTCTGTACCCCAGTTTACCTTACAATAATAGCAATGAAGAAAAGGTGAGAAGATATAAAAGAAGACATATAGTAGGGTGAGAATTGGATTCTTAAAAATACTGCTCAGTCTGGCTACAACTCAACTATCTACGCCCAAATGTTTTCTTTGAAGATCAAGCACCTACATTACTACAATATGGGGAGGACATAATGAGAAACTTTGTGGTATAGAGCTGAGAATGGCTCCTAAGCCTTCTAAATCACAGCCCTTAGGGCTCCCATGGGGAAGTGGAGTTCATATGCCATGATCTAGCAAGGATATCTTCCACCTGAGAAGGTCATCCTTGGAACTGGCAGGTGCCTTCTGGATCTGTGCATGTGGTGAGGGGAAGGAGGTCAGAGGTGCTGGCTGAGTCATTCGGATTAGCCCTAGTGGTGGCAGGTGGCCTTCATGTGTGTTTCAGCTGCCAGACCTTAACAGACGTGCACATTCAGGCACATACTTCAAACGGGCAGCCTTCAAGGCAAGGGAGAGGGGCGTGGATACACTTTTATGCACTGTGGTTTTCAAAATGTTACAAGTAATACATGAATACTTTCTTCCAAGTATTCTAAAGCTCCCTCAGAGTACCTCTGTGTCAGTGGAATGCCCCCCTCTGGCTCCAGTATGGGGACTGGAGAATCGAAGATACAGAGGAAATTGAACTCCCTTGAGGCCAGTTGGGTAAGAAGGAAGTGCCATGTTTCTTAGAAGACTTCTGGTGTTTGTAGATTTGAGAAGGGAGGTGGGAGAGGACTTAGGTGAATATTAAAACAAACACATAAACCAAATGAAGACCTCTATCTTTCCGGCATCACTAATAAAAAAAAAAAAGGGAGAAAAAGCTGAAAGTAAAGCATAAAACCCCAGTAAACACATCAGAACTACCAAATTAGTCCTCTGCACAAACACACCTTTATATTTAGAGCTGGAACCACTTTGGGAGTGACCTTTCTCGGAGGTTGCTGGCTTGGGCGGCAGTGGGACTCTCCCAAGCGACAAACACTCTTTAGAGCCCCCGTCCGGGACACCACTGTATACATTAGTTCATGTTTTCTTTGGCTTAAGGAATAGTGATGGCATTGCCCTTCTGTTTTTCCCCCTTTCCCAAAATGAGTGCTAATAACTTTTATATAAGGAACATTACCTGTTCGTTCAGAAGTCTGGTTACATACTCCCAGGCAGAAGTGCATCTCCCTGGAGAGGGAGACTGTGCCATTTGGAAATTATTTTAAATTACTGTTTACTGACTGTCGGCGACCATCAGAGCACAGTAGGAAACTTTGTAGGGAGAGGTGTGTCATAAAAGGCGTGACGTATCTTTTACACCCTCCTCTCAAAGCAGTGGGTGTACACAGGATAAATGCACGTTGTAGAAAAAGAAGTGTGTATGGGTGCAGAACTTTAAAACAAATATTACTAACAGCTCACATGTATTGAGGGTACTTGTTCCAAACATCGTACTCTGTTCTTTAAAAGTGCTCTCTCATCGAATTTCCTCAATCCTTGAGGTAGTTGCTGTTATTCCTATTTTAGAGATAAGGAGACTGAGGTTTTAAAGAAGTTCAGTGCCTTGCCCGAAGTCACACAGCCAGCAATGGCAGAGTCCACATGTGTTGTGTCTGACTCCAAATCCCGTCTCTTGGCCACAAGAGGATTCTGCCTCTTTCTAACTGAGCACATATGGGGAGCTGCTTCCTAGACATTGTTTCTGTGGTGGTAAACTTTGGAGTTTCAAAAACCGAGGCACAGGGTAGACTTGAAGGAGAAACTGGAACTGTGTCATAATTTTAGGGTTTCAGACCTAGAAAAGAGTTTGGGATTATCTGGTCTTCACCTTCACTGTTTTTGCTGGAGTCTGTATGAAGTGACTTCTGAAAGTCACTAAATGAGTCAGTGGCGGAACTGGAATCGAGTCTGGACACCAGACACCACCTTTCTGCCATTTGGCCTTCATCCTTCCCATTCCCGGAGGGCACTGTCTATCATTTCTGTTACCTCTATTCATCATTTGATGTTTACTCATCTGGCCTCACTGATTATTTTCTCCAGTATTCGTATCCTATTTCTCCAACAAGATTATACACTGAGGACAGGTGCTGTGCAACTTCTTTTTCACCAAGCTCACAGTCCACTGCCTCAAACAGGTAGGCATTCAAATCCTGTGATTTTAGTGTTGCATTAGGTGTGCCATACAACTGTGCCTTTCGGGAAGCAGTGTTTCTAGACTTGGCTCTGGATCCTGAGGGTCTCCCCAAGGAGCCGAGTAGGAGGACCCATTCTTGCCCTGTGGCCCAGGCTATAGCCCAGCAAATATTTGTGGTGGGTGCCCAAGAAATCCAGTACGTTATTGAAGTGTCCCCAGTGCCAGGCAACCATGGTGCCCTCTGGGGGATGCTCAAGTTATCAGCTCCACTCTACACCTGGGTGGATTTAAGCTCTAGTAAGATTTTAATTTGTAAACTTATTTATTTTTTTTTTTAAATTTCTTGAGATGGAGTCTCGCTCTGTTTGCACATCCCAGGCTGGAGTGCAGTGGTGTGATCTTGGCTCACTTCAACCTCCACCTCCCAGGTTCAAGTGATTCTCCTACCTCAGCCTCCCGAGTAGCTGGGATTACAGGCGCCCACCACCACGCCCAGGCTAATTTTTATATATTTGGTAGAGACGGGGTTTCACCATGTTGGCCAGGCTGGTCTTGAACTCCTGGCCTCAAGTGATCTGCCTGCCTCGGCCTCCCAAAGTGCTGGGATTACAGGCGTGAGCCACTGAGCCCAGCCAATAGTGCACTTATTAAGAATGATAATAAAAATGCCATTACTCTTACATAGAACATTCTCTTGGCCCAAGTGTTCTCAGGTGCACTATTTCATTTCATCTGTACTGAGCTCTCATGAGGCCATTATTCTTATTTTAGAGACAAGAAAACCAAAGTGAAGGGGGAGAGGGGTACTCAAATAGCAAAGAGATGCCATCTGAGGTCAGGAAGGGATTGATGAGAAACAGCCTTTTCCTGGTACCTCCTTGGGGCTTGCTGTGTCTTTTTGTGGTGTCTGGTGAGTGTGTTTGGGTGTGTATGGGCTTTCTTCCCTGAAACCACAGGCCACCTTTGGGAAACCAATTTACAGCTCCGGTTCACCTCACTGTACCTTACTCCATGGGCTGTGTGGTTGAGGATGTGTTTGAGTTAAGTAGGCTCTAGATAGCACACACACTCATTTATTTCCGTGCTTCCCTCACTTCACTGTAGTGCTCATTTGTCCAGGCTTATTCTAGGGAAGCAGGAATAAATGTTCTCGCACTTGTGTTGTGTTTCTGTGATCAGTTTAATTCTGCATCTCCTAGTGGGTGTTAGACTGTTCACCCACCACAGTGGCACCTCTAATTCTTTTTAAAAAGCAAGGGAGGCTGGGCACGGTGGCTCATGCATGTAATCCCAGAACTTTGGAAGGCCGAGGCGGGTGGATCACCTGAGGTCAGGAGCCCAAGACCAGCCTGGCCAACATGGTGAAACCCCATCTCTACTGAAAATACAAAAAATTAGCCGGATGTGGTGGCTGGCCCCTGTAATCCCAGCTGCTCGGGAGGCTGAGGCAGAAGAATTGCTTGAACCCGGGAGGCGGAGGTTGTAGTGAGCCGAGATCGCGCCATTGCACTCCAGCCTGGACAACAAGAGTGAAATTCCATCGCAAAAAAAAAAAGCAAGGGAGACTCTTCAAACTTAAATTTCTTTTAATCCTTGACTTAATATACATTTTTTTTATATGTCCCCCAGACAGCTTCTAACTTAGTAAGGGATCAATATATATTTGTTAAATGTGACACAGACAATTCTATTTTTATTTTATTGTTATTATTATCATTATTATTTTGAGACAGTCTCACTCTGTTGCCCAGACTGGAGTGCAGTGGTGCAGTCTCAGCTCACTGCAGTGTTGATCTCGGGGCTCAAGCCATCCTCCCCGTTCAGCCTCCCAAGTAGCTGGGACTACAGGCACCCCCTACCACACCTGGCTAATTTTTGTATTTTTTGTAGAGATGGAGTTTCAACATGTTGCCCAGGCTGGTCTCAAACTCCTGAGCTCAAGCAATCCTCCTGCCTTGGCCTCCCAAAGTGCTGGGATTACAGGCATGAGCCACTGCGCCCAGCTAACAACTCTTTTTTCAATCTGTACCTCTTAACGACTTCCTAGTCCACACAGTACAGTGCATCGTGTTGCTGTCCTTTATTTGCCCTAACACTATCATTAAAGCTATGTCCATGGTTACTTCTTGTTCCCTCTTATTGAATATTTAGTATTCAGTAGCCAAGAGACTGTTTATATTCTGCTTAATCCTCACCAAATTTCTGCAAAATAAGTAGTATCGTTACTTTTATTACCACTTTACAGATAAGGAAGCCAAGGCACAGAAAGATTGAGTGATGTGCTAAAGTTCACATGGCCAGTAAATGACAAAACCCATGCTCGTTCATACGTACCATGCCACTGTCTCTGTCAGCTTCAAGGTGTGCTTCTTGGGGATGTGGGCTGAGGCTTAGTGAGCTCGTCTATTTTTGCTGTGTTTGTACAGATTCAGCCTCAGCAAGCACACAGCAGGCCTGGCTGTGGGAGGCAGTGTGGTTTAGAGCAAAGAGTATGATGGCCTTTAGCATTTGTTAGTCTGGCTTTGGCTTGTACTCTGTCACTCACCGCCTCACCACATTATTTAATTGAGTCTCTCTCCATTCATTCATTGTTTCATCCCCGTGTTCACTGAGTGCCTATTGAGTGTCCGGAACTATGCCCAGTGATACACTTAAATAAAAAACAGACATGGTTATCAATCAAGTGATCATAGTTCTGAGTATAATGACAAACTGAGTGAAGTTCCCTGAACGAGCAAAAGCCAGTAAGGAAGACTGGGAGGTCTGGGAAGGTTTCCTGGAACAAATGGCGCTTGGTCAGAGGCCCCATGTCAGTGGGGGAATATGAAACTCTTGGAGAACTGAAAAGATAGGTGAGAAGTGCGAGGTCTTTCAGGCCATATTCAGGGTCTCCACCTTCTTTCCAAGAGCTGTGAGTAGTCATGAAACGGTTTTAAGCAACTGTGGTGAGGATGGTAGGGGCTGCCTTGATCACACTTGGAAGGGATGGAGTGGACACAGGGGCCCCATTTAGGAAGTTTTTAGTAGCTGGGTTGAGAAATGGTGGTGGCTTGAATGGCAGAGGAGGTGGAGAGAAGCAAATGAACTTGAGAGAGATTCAGGGGGCAAACTGCCAACAAGACATGGCGATGGATAAGATGTGAAGGAGTGCCAGAGGGGGAGGCAAGATGCACAGGCTTCCAGCTTGCCAACCTGGAAGGGAGGGTACCTTCTTCATTGAGATAGGGAACTCTAGGAAGCCCCCCACACCAGATTGGTGGAGGGAGATTGTAACTGGGGCATGCTCGTGTTGAGTTTGAGGTGTTTTTGAGACATCAGAGGGGGATTGTTGAATAGGCTTTGGTTGACAGAGTTCTGGAGGCTGAAAGAGAGGTGGGGTAGGGATAGGACTTGGTGCTCTGTGTGTACAAAGTAACTGAAGCAGCCCAGGCACGGTGGCACATGCCTGTAATCCCAGCACTTTGGAAGGCTGAGGCGGGCAGATTACCTGAGGTCAGAAGTTTGAGACCAGCCTGGCCAACATGGTGAAACCCTGTCTCTACTAGCAATATAAAACAGGCCAGGTGAGGTGGCCCACGCCTGCAGTCCCAGCTACCTGGGGGGCAGGAGAATTGCTTGAACCGGGAGGCAGAGGTTGTAGTGCGCTAAGATGGCGTGACTGTACTCTAGCCTGGGTGACAGAACAAGATTCCATCTCAAAAAAAGAAAAAAGAGAAAGAAAAAAAAGTATAGATGAACTTGCCCAGGAAAGGAGTATAGAGCAGACGAGACAGCCCAGGACTGAGTTTGCAGAAGAAACTAAAAGGGAGCAGCCAGAGAGATAAGAGGAAAACCGGAGTTCTGAGAAAGGGCTTGTCAAGAGGAAAGGCAATTAACAGTTTAAAATACTGCTGCTGAGATCTCGGTAATATGAGATCCTAAAATATGAGAACTGAAACTTGGTTATTGAACTTTGCAACATGGCGGTCACTGATCATTGAGATCCATTTGGTAGAGAGATCTAGGCAAGAGTCAAATAGGAAAGGGTCAGAGTAAAAATAAGAGATAGGGAAATGCAGACATAGGGGCAAGACAGCTTTTATGAAATCTGGCTGTGAAGGAGAGGAGAGAGAAAGGGTTTGCACTGGAGAGGATGCACAGCAAAGAAGCGTTTGTGGCATTTGTATGATTAGAGAAGGTGAGATCTGAGTGTATGTAAATACTCCCCGGGAAGGAACCAGTGGAGACAGAGGAGCTCACTCTCCAGGAGAGAGAATGGATGATTGAAAAGGTAAAGTGGAACTATCTTCTCCATAAGACTGTTGTGAAAATTAAATGAGATAACATGTAAAGTTATCCGGAGCAGTTGCTGTTCCTGTCCTCTATGACGCTGTATATTTTTATTGGGTCGCTTCAAAGGTTCCATTTTTCTGGGTCTGAAAAGTCTTAACTATTTTTTATTCCTCTTTGCCACTTATTTTCTTTCTATAGAAACATGCTTTCTTTTCATTTAATTAGGTCCATTTTAATAAAGGGTATAGGAGTTTACAACTCAAAACAATTCGTAAGAACTATCAGATACGTACGATAAATCACGCCAAGGGCGCAATAACGTAAATCCAGTGGTCTGCAAATCAGAGGCATTGTAAAAATTGTTAAGATTGACTTTCATGTCTTCCCCCTCCTTTCTCTTGTTCACAGCCCGAGATTATGTACATATTGTTTTCTGAGGCCTGATGACCTCAATACTCCTTCTGGCTGGGGAGACCTCCTCATTCAGTCCATTCCAAATAGTCAGCAGAGGGAGTTCACCTCTTCTTCATGGAATGAGCATGGTCCTTGTCCTTTATTATTTGGTTTCTGTCTCCTAGCAAATGACATTAAAACATTTTGCAGGCCTTGTGGAATTCTGGTCACTGTTGCCCTCCAAATGCCACACATGAGCCCTCAGGATGAGCCCTACAGAGTTTCATCCTTGTAGATAGGAAGATGTGTATTTGGGAACGAGGCTAAAGCCATGGCCGATTTCCCCAACATGCTTTCTATTTCTATTTTCGTTAATCTTTTTAAGTTCAATTTTTAAAATCATCTAAATGAATCTAAACATTCTTTAGCAATTTGCTTAAATCATCTTGTATATTATATAGAAATGTTAGATGCATTTATTTCTAGCCTGCTTACTCTGTATTTCACATAGGAACCAAAAATAGTCTTTCCTTCTTCCCAGTTTCCTTTTGTGATTGTTGACATTTTTTTACGTTTCATCATTAAATTTATGACTTATCTTCTTGTACCTCTGCCCTTCTTATTATCTAAGTCCATCCTATCTATTTTTAAGGAATATGAAAGTATGAAAGTAATCTTCAGTACCAGTTCTTTCCAAATGAATCGACTGTCTTTTCATGGTGCTCGATGGGTCTGTGTGTAGGCGTCTGAGTGTGTGTAGGCGTCTGAGTGTGTGTAGGCATCTGAGTGTGTGTTCGGATCACGTGATAGTAAAGTGTTCACAGTGTTATCACAAGTGTTATTGCAAAATAAAGCTTCTCTGTGCCAGGATAAATTTTTTAAAAATTCATGTCTCAATTCAGATATTTTTTCCAGAGTTGCTTTAAAAAAAAATTAACACATTTGGCAAAATTCATTTTTTCTTGCAAACTCCTTTGAACTTTAAATGACAATGTTTTATATGAGCAAGGGGGAAGATCAAACACAAAAGAGAAGGAAGTGTAGTAAGTTGATCTTGGACCATACTTTGAAGTGGTCTGTTTTCTCAGTAGGATGCTAACCTACAGCTAATAGGAGCAGCTGAGGAAAGGAGGGACCAGCTGTCCCCAAGGAGCTTGGCAGCCTTCTACCTTGGGATTGCACAGTCACCTCCTCCTTGCTGGGGCTGCAGAGTTTACGCTGAGGAAGTGAAAGAAGGTTGTGTGTTTATTACAGTTTGAGGTGTACTTTTCACTCCAGGAAGGGGAAGCCCCTAGAACTTTTCCCATTTGGCAAGGGGTAACCAATGCTTGCAAACCAAGAAGTGTAGTCATGGAGATGAGAAAGTTTAGATGAATTCTGATCTCCCAGCCCCAAGCACCTGTTCCAGGTAGCTAGACGCAGGGGGCCCCTCAAGGTTGAAGGTGTATGGTAGTACACCAGATAGCTTTTATGGTGGTCCGCTTTTAGCATTTTATAAAAAGTGACTAGTACTTGTCTTCTACCCACTAGTGTCATAAGAAGCAAAGAAGATAGCGGGTCTACTAAGTTGGATGTTCTTCAAATAGATGATATTTTAAAGTGCAAGGAATTATTGCTGTAATTAATATAGCTGGGAGTGTGGTGGCTAATTTGCTTGTTTCTCTCAATTTCTTTTCATGTGTCATAACTGAGTGCTTGTTTGTAGCTTCCTTTGTAAATCAGAAGAGTTATTTGGTGTTAGAAACTCAGAATTGTCAGACACAGTAAGATTGGTTGTGTTTTATTATAGGATTTAATGTCAAGCCTGTCATTTTGAGTGATGAGAAACTGGGAAAGGCGTCCTTCACTGACATAGTAGGAGAAGGAGGCACTTTTGTTTTCAACTCCAATTTGGTCTGAAGCTATTAAAGGAATAAATGGAGGTCGTGCAACATGTTGATTTTAGACTCTTCCCATGTCTGCTGCTAGAAGGAACGTGAGGAGCAGCTTAGTATTTTGTTGTGTCTTGCAGACTTCTTTTGCCTTAAAAAAAAGTCTGTTTATGGAGGGAGAGGACATGGCTGAAAAAACACTTGTACATAAAACAGCTGTTAAGCGAATCTCCACACACTGAGATCAAGAGAACGTGAAGAAATATGTCCTTCCAAGGACCCTTTTGCCAACTTGGAGCCTCCTTCAGAAAATAAATACAGCCACGCTACAAGTTTCTGGTAACTTAGTTACTGAAAAATAAATTGAGCTACTTAGACCCTTGAACCTTTATTAAAAAAAAAAATCTCTGAATTCTATTGCAGTGATGCAAATGAAGCCAGAGAAACTATGCAGAATGTTTCTTTGCCCTTGTATTAACGAATGTGCCCCTGAAGAGTCTTGAAAATGCAGGAGGCAGAAGCCCCGGCCTCCTAGTAGAGGGAAAGCACGTACACGCGTCTTTGGTCTCTAAGCTCCATCTGCAATAAGGAAAGATTTCCTGATAGTGAAGTTTTCTCTGGATTTTTTTTTCCTTCTCCGTGACTTGCTGTGGTAAAGGACAGTTGTGCTCAGTGGCTTCCAGAAAAGCTGGACGTCCCACCATGATGGCACATCTGGGCACACCACACCTCTCCTCTCTACTACTGGGAACACTGGAGAGGACTGACTGCCTGTGGCATATGCTTTGTGCTTGGAGTGTTGCTTATGAAAGATGAGGCCCCTTTAAAACCTCATGCTCACACTTAGAGAATTCTGGTCGTGTGCTACAGATGTTTTACAGTTTATTTCCAAACAGCTGCTTTTCCCTTCTTTAGTCTGTTTTTTTTTTTTTTTTTTTTTAAATAAAATCCCTCTGGAAACCTTTCAGCTCACATCCTTGGCAATGCTTCCTTAGTACAAGTCCTTGCATTCTATGCCATGACATTCTCCCAACCAGCACCTGTTACTACAGGCAGGCCATCGACTTAGCTGTTCTGTGAGTTAGAAGTACTATTGTGTATGTGGATCAGAACTGTAGATTCAATCAGCCTAGAACAGACAGCCCCCAGTGACAAGCCCTCCCTAGCACTTCATGAGAATACACAGAAAGAAGAAGGAAAAACTTGACTTATAATGTATGTCTCCCTCGGAACATCAGGTAGAAAAGCCCCATGCAGGTGACTCAATCCAGGGTCAAAGCAGGGAGGGTTTCCCTGAGGGCACAGCAATTTGACAAGTTTGTCCCATTTCAAACTTCCCCAGCAGCCAGCTGTCAATAATATCTTTGACCTTCAGAGGTAGGAAGAGCAGGAATAATTAAGATCCACAGATGATCCCCGAATCCTGGTAATGATTTTCACATCCTTCTTTCTCATGATCCTTTTCCCCAGAGCTGCCATTTCTCTAAACTAAAGTGACGAGTGTAAGTTCAGCCTCCTTTAGTTTCTTTTCCAATAATCTTCTGATAAAGATATTAGGAAGAAGTAAAAGTCCAATTGAAGAGGGCAGTATCAGGGAGGGAACAGAAGTAAAGAGTTTGGGAGATCATTCCTTGAATAACTAAGTGTTGATCGGCTCTTGGGAAAATGTGTTGATTTGTCTTCTGGCCAGTTGTACATATGCAGATACACCATCTGTACTGAAAAATATGC